>NC_000004.12:180133502-180436532 GCF_000001405.40 Homo sapiens
ATCTGCAATTCATTTACATAAATCTTCCTCAATAAAGAAATATGACCACAACTGTTTCTAATTCAGTAAAGATACAACATCCAAAATTTCTCTGTGTTATGCAGTACAATTAGGTTCATTCAGATAAAAAGAAAAATTTAGAGATTTTTTAAAAAAGTATTATATTTTATGAAATGTTTGTAGATATTACATCAGTCTTTTAGCTTATTTATTAATATTTGGTAATTAAGGGATTAAGCTGGATATTTCTTTTGAACAAGTTTGCATCTCTCCAAATAAGCTATGGAGTAAGAATTCATTGGCAAAATTGTCTAGTCCAGATTTTGATCAGCTCTTTCACACTATACTGGAAGATCACCTTAGAATTACAATCCTGAATGGGAATGCCTAGCTTGACATTAGCTTTATTTCAGTGAAACAGATTCTGGCACAAAAGAAAACAGCAGGTTAAAAAGACATAAGGAACACAGCTATGAGGGAAGTTTTATGCTTAAAGGTAAAGAGGAGTGGTTTGAATTTCTAAAAGATAAAAGAATAAGCCACTTAGATCTTTCAGAGTACTGAAATAGTCATTTTTTACGTAAAAGCAAAACTCGCAGCTTCAGAGAGTTCAGAGAACTTCTTCCTGGAGCTACTGATCCAGCCACACCAGGGATTGTCAGCTATTGCAGGGCACTCTGTCAGCTGTCAGGAAATAAATCTCTCTATCAGACGGAAGCAGTCTGAGTTGGAGCAAGTCCTCCACAGCATGTCACCCCGGGAGCGCTCAACATGCTTGGCGAACAAGGGCTCCCTGTTGTACTCTGATTTATGTATATCTGTAAAGTTACTCCTGATAGGGTAAAAGGAGGAGACTGATCAAGAGTCTGTCACACTCGAAATGCTTTCATACTGTTGCCACCCCACTCAACCTGTCGTCCATGGAAGCAAGGAAACAAAAGCACTGCAGACCGTTCTCAGCAGCCCTTTCCTTTCCTCGGTGACCCTTTCACAGACCGTTACCAGAACCACCACTCACTTCTTGTGCTAGTAGAGAACAGCAAGTAGTTATATTTGTGTTTTAAAGGTTGTCCTGTTAATAGATTGTCCTTTCACACATGCCATGTACCTTATTATCTGAAAATTTACTGAATGCTCACCTTGCTGACAAATTTCACACATGCCTAAGCATGCAACTGGATTTCCCCACATGATCATTTCCATGGTTCATTTCCTCATAGCTCAGGAGTGATCAGATTTTGTCTTCATTTTATTATGTTTTCAATCCAGTGAAGTCCAAATTATATCGTATTTTTGCTAGTATTAATGGGTAAAATTGTGGATATTACTGTTTGGTTGGTGTTGAAATTTTGTCTATCATGTGTAATTTACTGAATGATAAGGATTTGAAGAAAATGAAAAGCCGGGAATACTGAGTTTTATAACATGATACTTGCAAGTAAATTTAAGATACACATCAGGGCTTTGTTTTGCAAGAAGAAGTATAAAAAACACCACAGAAAGGCATTAACTTTCGACTTTAAATTGCAGAACTCAAAGGTATATATGTATACATTTTGGAGAGTTTTGTTGTTGCTGTTAATAGACAATATATTGAAGTGAGTAGCCCAGTTACAGAAGAGCATTATTTGATTAGGGCTTTAAACAAAGCAAGAGGGGTTGTAGGATTTCAGAATTACTGAAAAAGATAATGATGGCTGACAATGTTGAAGAAGACTTGTTTTATGTAAGAGAATTATGTAGACCTGGTGTAATTGTGAATAATTTTATAGCTGATTTTTTTGTTTGCACCCAGAGTTAACAATATATTTTTAAACTTACTTTGTAAACAAGTGCTTCATATTGCAGTTATGTGTATAGATAGATTAGATAGATAGATAGATGATAGATGATCGATAGATAGACAGATAGATTTTCCTTAACCTTCTCAAGAGATTATATGCCTAGAGAACAGAACTGTGCATTGTATCCCATTGTAAGTAACTAATCACTTACAATATTGCTAGAATTGGGTATCTCTTCAGTAAACATTGATTGTAAAAATAATCCTAGTAATCCATAGGATTTACCCCATTATTTGTTTTAAACTTTATGCACATATAATTTATTTTTGTCTTTGTATTAATATACCTGGTTTCTCCCTGCCACCACTGCCTTGCCTGTGTTTTATTTATCTTTTGTGTTATAGTACTTTTTCTAGTAGCAATCCCAATATTCTTTACTGAAGGGATAATTTCTTTCTAACTTCACTATGACTTCCATTTTACCCTGCTCAAGTAGAGAGATTCAAATTATATCATTTATTTCCACTGTATAGTCGTTGGATAGATTGCGTGAGATCCACTGGAAATTATGACATGCAGACACTTAAAAATTTTTTAAACATAGTTTTAAATAGTTCCTTGTTTAAAAAATATTTCCCCTTAAATCTTCCAGAAAATGCTAGAATTATGGAAAGAGGAAAACATAATTTAGCCTATCGGATGTAGAAACTGGAAATCTTGTTTTTATTTCCATTTCTGACATAATGTGTTTTGATTGCTACCATAAAAATGTATGATAACATATATTCACAACTAAAGCCGCCATTGAATCCCATCCATGGAAGAAAGGGAAGTAGAAATGTTTCTTGAATTCGAAAGAGGTTGTGATTGTGACCTTAAGCAACATTTATTTGGAATGCAACAGTGATAAGAGAACCAAAGAGGTGCTAGTGAAGAGCAGAGTTTTGCAGTATGCATGTCCACAGGAATTACAGGAAGGCAGAGCCGACCTGGCTGCTTCCTTACACAGTACCATCATGTCACTGTGGACCTGATGGTAACAATTGCTTTGTAATGAAAATTAAAAAGTAATAGATATGTTTGTTGGATATGTGGTCTCGACATCTTCCAGATAGTGTATTAAAACTCTGTGATTAATTTTATGCAGATTTTTTTAATTTTTTACTTTTCTAAAGTTGATTTTTCAAATTTTTAAATGCCTGATATCATGTAGAAAAACTGGCTCATTGAGCAGACTTCCTGTCCACATGCTTCCAATGCTCATTCAGAGGTAAAGAAACAAGCAGCATAGTATAAAAACAAAAACTACTTTGGATATAGTAAGTTTAAAAATAAATTGTGAGCCAACACAGCTGGTCCATTAAAATTATCGGTAAGCCATGTTAATGTATTTTAAATAAGCTATGAGGATAAATAGCGAAAACATTCTCTAAATGAGCAAAGATTTTAGTAATGAATATTTTATTAATAAAATTATAGCTCTTTCAGTGAAGTTTTGGATAGTTTACTTTTTAAAAAGTGGTAGGTAGTATCATGTGTTAACTCAGCTATGTATATTTTCTTGCATATTTTTCAATCACTCTTAAGATTTTCATTCATTTGGTTATTCTTTTAAATTAATTCTACCACCTAAGTGATACAGCGCTAATATAGTATTTTTCTTTCTGTAACAGGTTTGATTAGTGTGGTGTATTTGCTAGTATAATTCATATTTGACATGTAAATAAGCTAATATTTGTGCTTTAACACCAGTTTCAATTTGAAAGTAAAACTAGAAATGTTAATAGCTTTTAGTGTAAGCAATTAAAAATAAGTAATATATATAATCCTGGAATCTGTTTAAGTTTCCCATAACTAAAGCAGTTTTGTTATGCAGAGTTTGTTGATTCATTATGTGGATACTTTGCATTAAGATAACATTTGCTTTGGGAGGTAATTGTTTTGATATCCTTCCACTAACTACAGTTGATAAGAGGTACGCCTTAAAAAAAATAACAATTCCTAGTGAAATAACCCATATTATAAATGTTTGAACTATCCTTAATATGGACACATTCAAGAAAATAAAATAATTAGTGGTAGTAGAGTTAATATACTGTTATGCTATTGCTAGCATCAGCCATTTTGAGATCCATAGCTTATACTCTATTTTCTCAGTTCTAAGATGTCAATATGTGTCAAAGATACCATTGATCTAATATCAGCTTTCCTGGGAGAAAGACAGAAATGGCCAGCAAGTTTCTTTGGAAATCCATTGTAGTATGTATACTAATTTAAAACATGTTAAAATGAAAAGAAATATTGGTCTTAGATTTGAAAAATTGTGGTTATGTGTGTATTTACAACCCATCATGTTCCAGATGAAACCCACCATATTGCAGCTGACAACTTTTCATCCAGAATGAATGCTGCTTACCTAAAGCTATTATAGTTTTACTGAGGTTGTTATAGGTAGATAGGTAATAATGAAGGTACTGTTTGATAGCAATTAATTGTATGATGGCTTTTCCATTTGTAGTCAAGATTGGAAACAACATGAAATATATTCTAAAACATTTCACTATATAGTTACATCCTGTTTCTAAGTATGAAGAATGTGGGATGTAAGAAGTTTGCATATTACTTTGAAGAAATAAAAATCATGAAAACAAAGAAATCATTATAAAATGAATTATTACTACCAGAGTTTTTTCTCCCCAGCGAAAGGTTGTCATGAGCAGAGTTTTAAGTAGAGAATGGAATCTGATTTTGTGAAACAGATTCCATTTAGAATTATATTATTGAAATTTGAATTCGCATAGAGTGAACCAGTAAGAGAAAAATGGCATTATTAAGAAAATAAATCAAACACAGATTTATTAGGATATGAAAATTTTTAGGAATAATAGAAAAGAAAGAGCTATGTTTTAAGGAAAAGGCCTAGATTGTCCATATTACTTTTGTCTTGTTTGTATTATTTATGATATATAAAATATTTAAATATTTGTTAGAAATTCCAAGGCTTACACATGATATGCACATAATAATTTCCAGAAACACAGAACCATGTTTACTTTAGGGGAACACTTAAATTGAAATATATACATCAATTCAGTACTTGTGTTGTGAAATATGTATGTATACACACACACACACACACACACACACATATCTTCTGTCAGTAGAAACAAAATTGCCACTCTTGCTTTGATCTTACCAACAGATGCAACGCTAGCAGAATGGAATGAATTCAAATAGTCTTAATTAAGCCTTTCTTGTAGGTTTAATTAGGTATGTACCAGCTTAAAATACATCTGGCCTATAAAAAAGACATAATGAGTATTTGATGTAACAATTTGATCTTGTTGTTGTGGTTTTCAAATTCTTTTGTGTGCGTCTGTACACATCTGTGAGTTTGTGTAAAGATAATAGCTATTACTTTCAATTGTTTCTTCTGGTTATACTTCATGGTGACACTTTGGGCCTCTCTGTGACTGTGTGTGTGTGTGGGGTGGGGGTGGGGTGCTGCAACCAGTAACTTTGGAAGTTTTGTCAACAAGTTCACAGAAATAAAAACTCAATGCCAACCTGTTTTGAGAATCCAGTTCTAAATACAATTTTTGAAATTTTTGTCATTATACAAATAGCAATCAAATATTATAGGAAGTAACAAAAATGACAGAAAAAAATTCCCACGTTCTCCATCTTAGTGACTTAACTTTCTTATTTCCATTTCCTTTTTATTCCTTGTTTTATTTATATGTATTTTTAATGTGTTTTTAATTATAATGTCAATACAATTTTATTCAACTTAATATTTAATAAATTAGAGTTTGTGCATGATTATTTTTATAGCAGTTACATTTTGTTTAGGTGATTTTAAATAATTTTCTACCACTACACTAATTAAAGGTATTTAGATTTATTTTTATGGTATGCCATAACACGGAAATGGAACTTTTTTAAAAATTAATTTTCCTCCTTAAAAACTATTGTAAAATTACATACCTCATAGTTTAACTGTTTACATTTATGTGTAACGAGGACATTTTGCATTCATGAATGAAAAATAAAATGATGAAATAGCAGTTATCAAAAGAAACAAACAAAAATACATCAGATATCCACATTTTAAAAAATAGAGCATTATATTATATAATATTCAGACATAGAGATGTGCCATTATAAGACACAGCAGAATGAACAAGGGTAGAATAAGAATTCTCTTGATAGAATTTTATATTAGTTTAATTGTACTATACTCAATAGATTCACATATATTCTGTATATGTGTTAATGCTTCATAGCTTCATAGAAATGGAAAATGTAAGTTGAGAAACATACTAAATGGCTACACTCTATGTACTATGTTCTGTATATATAGCATTTATTCTCACTTTTAATTCTCGTTGCCTGTTTTGAACTTGTTCATGATAGTAATGATGTAATATTTGTGTTACTTGAGTTTATATGGACAAAGCAAGGCTATTTATTTTTTGTGTTATAGGATTTGTGTCAATTATATTAAATGAAACGTCTCTGTCTTACAGTTAACAACACTTGCTATAAAAATCTAATATTGATATAATCGAATGTATTTATTTGAAACTCTTTAATGATTTATAATTTGCCTTTGTCCATGCAGCTGCTATAACAAAATACTATAGCCTGGGTAGATTCTAAACAGTAGAAATTTATTTCTCATAGTTCTGGAGGCTGAGAAGTCCAAGATCAAAGTACCAGTTGATTCAATTCCTGGTGAGGGCATGTTTCCTGATTCTTAAATGGCATCTTCTGGCTGTGTGTTCACATGATAGAAGGAGCAAGGCCTCTGGGGCCTCTTTTATAAGGGCACTAATCCAAGTCGTGAGGCCTGCACCTTCACAATGTAATCACCTCCCAAAGGCCCCACCTTCTAATCCTATCACACTAGTGATTAGGCTTCAACATAAGAATTTTTGTGGAGACATAAACTTTTATTCTTGCAATTTCTGGAATGCTTCATATGTATGTATAAATATATGTTTACACACAGATACATGGTTATCAAAAAGATCTAAATATACAGAGAAGAAATGCTTTGCTTTAAATGAGTGCTTCTCCAGACATAAGGTCTATGCCACACTTTGATAAACATAAGCAATTATGCATGCGCCACTGTATGGAATGTTGCTCTAAGGTGAAAAAGCCTGGTTGAAAATCATGATGTCTTTGCTTGTCCCTCCCAACAACTAAAGATTTTGTTGAGCTTCATTTTCTATATTTATATAATGAAATAATTTTTACACAATCCAAATATAAGATGCATATTTGTTATTTTTACCTACCTGAATATTCTAATACCCCCAGTATTTAGGTGACTGTATTGAGAAAGTTGGTACATTACATACTTAACCCTGGTATCATCATCAACAACAAGAATAAATGAATCTGATAAAAAGTAAGGCAATAAATTAGTTCAATGGAATTCAAAGACAAAATCAATAAAGATAAGATTAAAAATTAATGAGGTGACAAAGTCTAGGCACCCTGACTCACACCTGTGGTACCAGTGCTTTTGGAGGCTGAGTGGGAGAATCACTTGAGCCCAGGGGGTCAAGGCTGCAGTGAGCCGTGATTGTACCACCACACTCCAGCCTGGGTGACAGAGCAAGACAGTCTCAAAAGAAAAAAAAAAAGAGAGAGAGATAAAAACTTGATTAATCACCAGGTAACATGACTTTTTTAAGCAAGGGAGAAAACTTCATCTATGAGCAATAAATATGGAATACCCTTATGAATGGAGATTATATTTTCAAAATTACAGAAAAACATTAAACCCTTCTTTATTAATGGATCTTAAATCTGCATCATGTTGTTAAACTTTGTAATTTACTCAAAAAAAGAAGTAATAGACCTCTGGAGATCAGTAACTTCAAACTTACTTCAAAAAGTTATTCCTAAAAACGATATCAGAAATTCTAAGGAGCATGTGTGATTTCCAGAAGCTTCTCTCAACTCAGCACGTGATTATATTAGTCTCAGTATCCACATACCACTAAGAACTGCTGGTCTGGAAAAGTAAACATTTAGGAATAGTAAGGAAAAATCTTATGGGAATAGAGAGGCAAATCAGTAACAAAAAAAAGAAAAAGAAAAAAACCAGAGAGCGAAGAAACTGGCTCTAGTTAATATTCAATATATCTTTAAAATCAGTTGTCTAGTCACTGCGGGGAAGGGTATGGGAAATGAAGTACACAATGTGGAATCTCCAAATAGCAACTTAATTCCAGAGAACTTGAGTGTTAAGTGCATGCTATGTTTATATTATTCATAAACTGGAGTGCAAACATATGCAAAGAAAAAAATTTAGGTAAATATCCAGTAAAAAACAGTGCTTATAGCAAAATTCAGAAATGATGAGCTTAAAATTAAAACAATGGATTTGACTAATAAAAATTGAAACTTCTGAATGACAAAGTAGTACATTTCATAAATATATTTGAAAGACAATGACATTGCATGTGTGTAGACATGATATTTATTTAAATGCGTATACATAGATATATGTATATATCTTTGCATATGTGTGATAGCAGAAAAACGTGTTAATAGACATAAATATAGAAATAGTTTATGCAATGCAATGAAAAATATTCAACAGCTCATTAGAAAAATGAGTAGAGGAATAGGGTATTGCGTAATAAACTTAAAAAAAGTACTATCAGCTAAAATATTCAATCTCAAGAACATTAAATTAAAAAAATCATCATTAGTAATGATTTAAAAGATAAAGTTGTGTTTCCTGTCTAAAAAGGTTTAATTTTATAACACTTGATCCAAATCAAAAATATGCATATCATTTATCAAATCAATTCTAGTATTTGGATTTGAAATTAGTACAATATTGGTCCATTGTTCAAGGACACATACACCAGGATGTTCATTGCAGTGCTGTTTTTAATACTCCTAAATCAGATAAAAACTTACTTACTATTATTATTTGATGGAATATACATGCAAAACACAATCATAATACTATTCAAATGAATTATATTATTCAAAATTTATTAACTTGGAATTATGGCCTTGCTATATTTAGTAATATAAAAAGGCACATTATGGAATAGAGTGGTTGCATTTTTAAAGGAAGAATATTAGTATGATTATCTATGATATATAAGAGAATATGTCTGGAAAGTAATCAAAGTATAAATTAGGATAAGACAGGAGGGAATTCCTTTATTCCAACTATAAATCAAGGGATACATGTGAGGGAGAAAGATCATATTTCTATAGTGTGATGAAGTCCCGGAGATAGAAGAATATTTGACCAAAGACTAAAGGAAAGTGAGTGACAAAGACATGATGATGGCCGCAGGAAAGACTGTAGAAAGCAAGAAGCAAGTGTGAAAGCCCTGAGGCAGAAACATGGTTGCTGTGGTTCAAGTACACTAAGAAAACAGAGTTCATGAGAGGGGGAGGATAGAGCAGATAAAGTGAGGTCTACAAAGCTACAGGAAGAGGATTGGAAGCCATTAGATGGATTTTGCAGAAGCTTGTCTTGATCCAAGCTACTCTTAAGGGTCACTGTGTCTTAAGAATGGACTTAGAGACAAGAATGGAAGCAGCCTCTACTATCTTTAAAAAACTATTATAGTGATCCAGTCCCAAGAAAATGGTGGCTTATGCCTGGGTGATAGTTTTGGGAGTGATTAGAAGTGAAAAGGTTCTGGAAATATATCTATATCTATGTCTAAATTTCATATATATTTTATATACTATAAATAATATGATACAAAGACATATAGATAACTGCTTTCATTTCACACACATTTTTCTTTACTGTGCTTTTTTTCATTTACAATATATCCCAGAGATCGCTCCATAGTAATACATAGAGATATACCTCATTCCATTTTGTAGCCTCACAATTCTTCATTCTGTGGAGGTACTAGATTATTAATCAGTCCCCTGTTGATGGACATTTAGGTTCTTTCCACTCTGCCATTACAAATAGTGCTGCAATGAATAGCCTTGTGCTTGTATTTTTTCCTATTTTTGCTATTGTGTCTTTGGAATAGATTTCCTAGAAGTGGGATTGCTGAGTCAAAAGGTACATGCAAATGTAACTTTGATAGATATTGACAAATTTCCTTCCAGATTTTGATTTCTGTCTATAGTCTCAGATTTTCTTTTCCTTCCCAACTTGCTTTTACATTGTCTTCTTTTGAAAAACACTGGACATTCTTTTGTTGTTTGTTTGTTTGTTTGTTTGTTTGTTTGAGACAGGGTTTCCCTCTGTCGTTCAGGCTGGAGTGCAATGGTGCGATCTCAGCTCACTGCAACCTCCGCCTCCCGGGCTCAAGCAGTTCTCCCACCTCAGCCTCCCGAGTAGCCGGGACCACAGGCGCTCACTGCCATGCCCAGCTAATTTTTGTGTTTTTGTAGAGACGGGGTTTCACCATGTTGCCCAGGCTAGTCTTGAACTCCTGAGCTCAGGCGTTCCGCCCTCATGAGCCTCCCAAAGTGCTGGGATTACAGGCGTGAGCCACTGCACCCAGACTAAAAAAACACTGTACATTCTTGGTAAAAATATTTTGAATGTGGAATCCATATGGATTGCCGATTATTTTGATATAGAAGATAAAAGACAAGAGTAAACAAGATTTTGGCCTGAATGGCCATATATTTTAATGTAATTCAATTCTAATTCTTTTAAATTTACATTTAGATAACCACATGTGGTGAGTTTTAGCATATTGGGCAATGCAGATATAAGCATCAGGGTAAAAAGGGGACAGAGTAAGTTGAAGACTGAGCTCTTGGGCACTCTGATTTAAGGCCTTAGATCTGGAAATGAGGAAGAACCAGCCAAGGAGACTGACAAGCGAGGTGGGAAAGAGGTGGCAAGTAAATAAACCATTTTGGGATAGATTCAGAAGCCAATGATCAATGGGTCAGATGCTACCAATATTTGCATCCAATGAGGACTCAGAATGGACAACTGCTTGAACAGTGCAGAAAAGACTTCAACCTTTCCAAGTGTTTTATGACTGTTTTGTAGAGGTGCAAGGCCCAGTTTGACTTGGTTTAAGAAAAAACAGCCTTTTCTTTTGTGTGTGGGTCTCCCCATCTCTTTCTCAACGGGACTGCAAAATCTTTAAATGTATATCTTCCACCTTTTATATCTTTGTATAAAAAATTGCCTGACAAAGTTCTTTTTTTGTATTTTAAAGGGTTAGAAATATAAACGTTCTAATCATAAATGTCATTTTAATTATTATTACTTTCCCATCATTTCAGAAACATGAATTAGTCAAGGCAGATTGTTTACAACATAAAATGGTTACATTATAAAATGGAAGAAAATTAATATTTCTAGTAATTGGTTAGGAAGATTTGCAACTGTGATCCATACCTTTAAAAAAGAGCTAGTGAAATTCAGAATATAATATTGGTGTTATCTGTGCAATTTAAAATAATGATGAGCCAGTAATGTTTAGGTAACTTTTAAAAACAATTACTGTTCTAACTAAAGGAATTATTTTCTTTGAGGATAATTCACCTCCCACCAGTTCCACATTTTGACAACTTTATCATTTTGGACCAATGTGAATTTGACCTTTCCCCCCTCCATTCTTCATCTTGTAAGTGCTGTGCCCTTCCAGGCTGATACTTTGAAGACAAATTCTTTGTCCTTGTTTGGATTATTGAACAGTAAATGTCAAGGTTTTTTTTCCCCATTTACAAACGTTTTATCAATTGCTGACCTAAAAAAGATTAGATGTAATCTTAGATATTAAAACTACCATTCAGCATGGAAGATCTTTAAAAAAGAAAAATTCACATGAATTACAATTAACTTTAAAGACTTTTTAATGAGGAAATGACATACTTCTTGAGGTTATAATTTGTGCATTCTTTCAATTTCTTAGCCTATTAGCTTGATTTGACCCTGCAGATCAGGGAGATGTATATTTTGTATGTTTCTCCTGAAGTTCTTCAGCAAGTCTCTACATCAACTCACATACTGGGTTTTGTGAAAGCCAAGAGTTTCTTTAGTCATTGAAGGAACTAGCATGGAATTATAGAGCAAATGTACAAACAAACAAGAAACTATAGCAAAAAGCTAAAAAAAGAACCCTTCCTCATTAAAATTGTCATCGTCATTTAAAGTATATTCTATATAGATTTTTTAATGTGAACCACTGATGTGAAAGCAATGCATATAGGATGAAGTTGTAATTTAATTTATTTAAAATTCTGTCTACACCAGCCTCCTTACTTTCTTTTCATATCTGGTTTATTTTGAAAGAATAAATCTGTTAGCCTTCAAACACTTTCTGTCAAAAATATGAACTTATTTGATATGGGTTAGCAGGGTTGTGATTGGAGACTCAATATTTCATTTATTTTAATGTAAATGACACAGGATTGGATTGAATCTTATTACTTAAATATTGTATTAACTTAAATGACTCAATGTATAGACACGTTTACATCTTTTACATTTTTTTAAAATCTTCCTTAATGTTGGAAAATCAGGTATATGTGATTATTTATATTTGTGAAAACTTAAAAAACACAGGATATATCTGAACTATATTTAGGTTTCTGAAAGACACCTAAATATTGTCTTTTTATTTCCCATATATATTCTACAGTGACTTAACTCTGAAATTCAGCATTTTATCATGTTGACATTCATATCCTTATTATTTAATTTAATGTGACTATGATACTTCAGAAGATTCAGTTCTTACCATGTTCAGCATTTTTTCTTATCATTTAAAAAAATCACATGTTTACATTATATTGTTTTAAAATTGAAGTATTGCCAGTAATGTATTATATATTGTGACATTGATTACTTGGTTAATTTAAAAACTTTATTTTCTATCACAAATATTTTAGTCACAAAATGACATGATTTAATAGAAGGAACATGGGATCAACCTTGTCGTGAAACAGGTTTGACTCGTTGCTAGCTAGGTGCATGACCCTGAGAAAATTACTTAGCTTTTCCTGGCATCACTTTACTGATATGCAATGTGAAGATGATAATCACAGTACTTATTTCATATACAAATGAAAAAAAATCCACATAAAATGTCAACCTGACATAGAGTCATCATTCATAGATCTTATTTACTGTTATTTTGTTGTTATTCTTATCATGATCATGTAAATTATTTTCTGTTTTAGCCAAATATTTAGGCGCTTCTGTTGTGGATTTAAGTGTGTGAGAGGGAGGTAAACACTTTTCTTTTTTTTTTTTATTATACTTTAAGTTTTAGGGCACATGTGCACAACGTGCAGGTTTGTTACATATGTATATATGTGCCATGTTGGTGTGCTGCACCCATTAACTCATCATTTAACATTAGGTATATCTCCTAATGCTATCCCTCCCCCCAGTGGTAAACACTTTTCAAGGGAGCAGTGACTTCTGATAAGGAGTGAGTAGGATGCTAAGGGGAAATGGACAAGAGTCTCTGCGTGTTGAATCTCAAACTGGAAGTCAGAATGCTGTGTTCCTTTCTGACCATTATTTGTGTTTTTAATGGTGGCTTGGTTCCTAGACATGCTTACCAAAATATAATGAAGCCAACACATAGCTGTTTTAGTTGACTATTCTGAGATTTTAAATACCATTGAAAACATTACAAGAGCTATACTATGCCTAAATATCAACAGCTTGCAAATATATGCTGACCTCCTTCTTAGTTGTGGATTTCCTGGATTGTGGTATACAGATTTTGAGTTGTGAAAATCTATGAAAAAAATCTATTTCCCCTCAAATTACAGATTTCTTAATATAGTATGGATATTAACTTTAGAAAATTTAACACAGAAAAATATCACTGGGTTCCAGTAAGCTATAGCCATCTATATTACTTCATAAATAAAAAATACTAAAATTAAATAGCAAACCAGGCTAAATATTGGCCAATCAAGTCAGGTCACTTAAAAATAATTTCTTGAATGAATCAAATAGGGAGCAAAGATTGGCAATCTAGGCCTACTGGCAAACAACAATCATTCCCTTCCATTAACCCTCTTAACAATTACTTGTTCAAAAGCCTACGTAGAGTAACAGCTGTGGAAAATATCAAAGGATCAAATATAGAAGTCATTAGAAAGGATATGAGAGATTCAAAAGGGAGGCAAAAGAGAACTTACATGTATTATTGGACGTTGAAGAGAAAAAATAGTGAACAAACAAAAAGGAAAATTGAAGTTATAACTGAAGAAAAAAGAAATTGAAACTGTAATCAACTCTTTACTTTGAAATTTTTATGTACAATTATTATCAATAAATAATTATCTTTTAAAATTCTTGAACAGCAAGAACTGACAATTATATGATCAAGAATGAAATAAAAAGTCATGGGCCAGAGGCAAGGGTGATATTAAAAATCAGAATGGACATACTAACCAATCAGAAAGGAAGTGGGTTATGCGCCTTCAATGCTACTGCTGACTGACATCTAGTAATTGCACTGAGAGGTAGAGATGTTGTTTCTTCGAGGCGGGTTTTTATCAAGTTATTTATTCCTTCTGCATCCTCCTCTCACAGTGAGTGAGATTACAAAGGTTACATTGGGTAACTTCGGCTACTATTATTCTCTGTAACAATCTTCAGGGCTCACATGAAATGAATCCACTAAATTCTGGCTTTGGGAGGTGGGAGTAAGGGGGTTATAGCATTTTTACTCAAAAGTTTTGTTTTTGTTTTTTAATAAAGCAACCATATCTTAAAACTTTGTAGATTTTATTAGAAGATATTAAACAGATTCTTATTAAAACAGTGTAATACGGATCAGGAACCAGGAAGGCCAACTCCACTGGAAGTATTTTCCATTGATGTCATTGGTTTGAGTTCAAACGATAGCTAAACTAGAGGCAAAAAGAAGACACATGCCTTTCCCGTTGCAGATGGGAGGTCACCAAATTTAAAGATACCTTCAGATGTTTGTCTTCTCCAGGGACAGCTTACTGAAAAATTAATACTTTCTTTTAATAATTTTATTTAATGAATCTCTCACTATATTTAGATAAATGCTCTCTTTTTAAAACATAATATGGATATACATAGCTTACTGGATATAGAAGGATAAATGGACTTTTCTACGGCTGCATGTATACTAAAAATTAATTTATTCACTCATCCAAATATTCAGGGTTGGTTCATAAAAGTCACTTAACTGGTGGAAATAAAAAAAATATATATTTCCTATCATTCTTATTATCCTAAATATACTTAAAAGAATAAATGTGATTAAGATGACTCTGAGTGTGTGGAGATTCATTTCCCACCTTATTTGGGGAGTAAAAGGGGTGATATTTCACCTGCTTAATGCATATTTTAATACTATTTTTGTTGGCCTATGGTTCTTTGCTACATATATACATTTAATTTTTTAAATTCTTAATCATTTATTCTCTCAGTATTTAGAAACATCGTATTCTGTGAAATGCCAAGCATTTTCTTGTTGTTTTACAGATTACATAGAACTGGACATATTTATTTGATAGTAAGATGCATACAATTTTTATTTTTCAGACTTGAATGAAGTGATCATGTAAACTAGAGAAAGGAGATTAAAAATAACCTCTGGATATTCCTCTCATGTGATCTTTATTCTGGATGAAGCATTAGGACAGCTAATAGCCGTGTGTCACTGTAAGTATTGTGTAATGAACTTAGAATGTTTATTTTTTTGTTGCTGCATAACCTCGTATGTTGTACACTTTCACAGAATTTAAGAATAGTAGATGTAGTGTAGTAGCAGTAATGGGCAGAACAATAAAAACTAAAATACTAAGTGGCAGGGATAGCAACACAGAAGGGGAAAATTATTCTGGTTATAGAATCCCTTAAATTGAGTAAATATTTGATATAAACAAAAGTGAAGGACAAAATGATAATTATTTATGATATCAAAGTGATCTTTGCTAGAATATACTTGAGAGTGTGACAGCTTTCTGATGAGGAAGTAAACTAATTGTAAAGCTATGCTGAGAAGAATCATAATCTTACTATGAATAAGAAATGCGTTACGAGTTACAGGATTTGAAAAATAACAGAATGAGAAGCTTTTACAAGCCAGGCTATTTTAATTTTGGTGACGGTTTAGAATCTATAGAAGTACCAAAAATTATAGCACCAACTTCAATTAATAGAATGTTCAATCTGTATCTAATGAAGTTATCAAGTACTCTTTAATCATGCATCTATAATTTTATCATACAAAACCATTGCATTCATAAAGAGAAAAACAATCTTATAAACTGGCCTGAGGACTTCATCTGATCATATAAACGAAGAAATAGGCTTCCAATTTAACATTCTGCAGCACTCTAATGCAATTCAGGGGTAAGTGCTATTACCCTTGGTGAAGAGGTTGAATTTGATAGCCATTTCACTGTTAGACTAACGATGGCCTGTTATATCTCTTAGGTTACAATGTCTTTGATCCTGTGAATGGCAAGGAAACATACAACCTCAGGGGGAAATTCAGACAGAGAAGGTATTTAATAGAAAAGCCTCCAGACAACTGGAGTTTCTTTAGATTTTGAAATCATATGTAGACCTCTTAGCTGAGACTCAACCAGAATCCACCAGTAAGGCATTCAGCTTGGTTATACCTGTGCTGTACAGATGGCTACATATGTTGTCTGTCACCACAATACACGTTCAAATATGAATATATGTACAAAGATTCAAATGTCAAATATGTCTTATATTTTGACTTATGAACTTATTTATTATCTTACTAACTTGGACTTGTTAACCAGAGAAATTACTTACATAATGAAAGCTCTTTTAAAAATATCCTATTACCTTTTCCTCCCACAACTGAACACATAATTTGGAAAAAAGTCTCTGTGAAGGAAACAATTAAAATTTTGTTTTGCATTTGTAAAACTAGAGTTATTTTATTTCCTAGAATGTAACAATAACTTACCCTTTCCACTTCAGATTTTGAAAATTTTATTTGTAGTAACATTTTACCTACATCCAAAACAGGTGGTGGATCTAATTTATATTTTGAATGGACAAATAACGTTTTCTGAAAAAGTTGTAAGATGTGCTTGCTTTAGCCGAGTCATAATTTTTACTCTTTCATAGTCCCACAAAAACACGTATTCGCGATATAGCTGAATAAGGAAATTGACTTAACGCCAAGTTAGCAATCAAAACAAAAATCAAACCTACTAAGTGTGTTACTTGCCCTACTTAAAAAGAAATTGAGAGATGATAATATTTAATATGTCTTTTTAAATATAATTTATCTAGGTTAGATTCATAGAGAAATTTCCGTGAAGGTAAATATTCCTCTACCATAGAGATGATTTTAAATGAAGTGAAATTATTTTTAATTAATATCATTGGTAACTTGCAACAGAAGGGAATTTTCGTGTTACTTAAACCATAATTTTCTTCTAACATGGCTTAGGCCATTTATCAGAACCATGTTGTTAAATGCAGATTTGCAGAAATACTTTTCAATGAAATATAAGACTACGTGATATTTGAAACCATCCAGTTTATTTAACTTGCTTAAAACAGTGTTCACTTTATACAAGTTCCCTTTGATAAAATCACTTAAGCGAACATTTTTTATATCTATGTACACATGTAAATGTGTGTCTTTTTAAAAAATAACCATGATTAGAATGATGAGCATATAGAACTTTATTTATACCAAAAAATAACGTGGTGTAAGAAATGCTTTTATGAAGCAAAATGTATCAAGCCCTCTAGTGGTGTTAATGTATAAGATATTTCATTGTGGTGTTTGCTCAATCAAAGCAGGCTTTTTTTTTTTCTTTCTCCATTTGAGTGCAAGTATTTAACATGTTTTTGACGTTAGCTTTTTGTAAATTCCAATTTGCTCTGCTTGGCAGATAATTTGTAGAATACTCTAGGTGGTTTTTCTAAAGAAAAAAATCTTAACCTTAGGATTAACCATTTTAAATAACTAAACTTAGTGAATAAATGAATGGCCTGTTAGGAGATAAATCATAATTTTTAGATCAGTAACTGTTATTTTTGGGTCTAATGTTAAAAGACATTGTAGTGTTCCATATGCATGATGATAACAATACTTTTTAAAAAGAAAATTTACATAATTTACAAACTTAGAAAAAAAATCTTCATTTAAATAAACAACACAATTAAGGATAAAAAGTAGCTAAGACTTCCTTTGTAATTCTTACTGAGATCTTTCATGCTATCTAAAGTCTAAAGGAGGTTAATGGTCTTATTCATAACTAAGGATATTTACACTGCACTTTTTTTTAATTTGGCTCTTTTTATAGAAGGCACACAATTAGAGAGGAGACTTAGTTGGCAGATCTGCAAAACGTGTTTCAGTTATTAGGGCATGAGTTTTAGCTTCATGCCAGCGGTATTTTTCTTTCTTTTTTTTTTAAAAACAATTAAAGTATGAGCATTGGATGTATCTAGCTAGGGGAAACTGACAAATATCATGCAGTAGAAATGGAAAAGTAACAATGAAAAGTTTAAGACACAAAGATGAGTCTCAGAGTCTATCTGTTCTCAAAGATGAATTTCTTGATTTCCTGTCCTTTATTTCAACATTATTTTAGACTCTGAAATTAGGCTCATAGAGTAACCACTGAATACGCTGTGGTAGAAAGTGCTATACTAGGTTTTGGAAGACCCAAATCACTTCTCAGCTTCATCCAGTTTTCTTTGTTGTAAAATCAGAATAATCATGCACTACCTAACCTCACGTGCTCACGAGCACTTCTGACACTGATCACCATTCTTTTGGAAAAGTGTACATTATCACTGCTTCTCATCGAGGAATACATGCAGTTGGAGAACATGTGGTCTTCTCCCTAATATGTGCACCCTCATTCTTGGAAGTCTTCAATTAAAACTGATTTAAGTCAGGCGCAGTGGCTCACGCCTGTAATCCCAGCACTTTGAGAGGCAGAGGTGGGCGGATCATTTGAGGTCAGGAGTTCGAGACCAGCCTGGCCAACATGGCAAAACCCTCACTCTACTAAAAAATACAAAAATTAGCTGGGGGTGATGGTGCACGCCTGTAATCCCAACTACTCGGAAGGCTGAGGCAAAAGAATTGCTCGAACCCAGGAGGCAGAGGTTGCAGTGAGCCGAGATCATGCCACCGCACTCCAGCCTGGGCGACAGAACAAGACTTCGTGTCAAAAAGAAAATGACAAAAACAAAAATAGTAAGTTAAATAGTCTATATTAGGTAGAGTACTGGGTACAAGTGGTCCATACTAAGATAAGAGCCTAAAATAAAATGCTAAATCTTAAAAGAGACTGGGTTTATGCACAAAACGTTTTGTGCCTTGGTCTAACATTAACGTGATGTCTGTGTAAAATGACAAAAAGAACCAATGTTGAATTATGCTATATTTTCCATCACCCCAGATTGCTAAATGTGTTCCTTCCAAGAAATCTAAATGAATTATTATATACATTTGCTGTCATGTATACATAACAGTTGTGTCGTTGTTAGAGGTTTCAGTAATTAAAATGGGTAACAGAAGCTTAAGTTACTTTCCTTATCAAAACTATGTTCCTTGGAACCACATTATTATAATGGTTTTTGTGCTCTTGTACATTGGATGTCTTAAGCTGAGTACAGTTTAGGAGATCCTTTCTAATTATAAGAAGGTACTGCTTTCCTCAACACTGTGATCTAACCTGTGCTAAATCTGTACTATACACTATGTAAATGGCTAACAAGTCAATTGCAAACAAACTGAATGTACAAATCTTAGTGTTGGTACTGAAACCTTTTCAGAATAGTCATCACGATTTAAAAGTTTGTTTAAAAATTTGCAAGCATCAAGTGTCAATCAAAACTGAAGATGAAACACTAACGAATGTTGAATTCTCATGCTTTTAGGTGCACTTCCTTTTTAGAATTTTCAGTTATCTGCTATTTTTACCGTAACTATTTTCTTTACATTTGTTTCACTTAAATTTCCTGCACGCTAACTTTGTTTGTATGATTGAAATAAAACTGCAGTGTATATATATATATATATATATATATATATATATATATATATATATATAGTGTGTATATATATATAGTGTATACACACACACACACACACACACAAAAGTACACATATTGGCCAATAGGATTTAGTATTTTGTTTTAAATCAGTTATATATATACTAAATCCTATTGGCCAATATGTGTACTTTTCACCATCTAAATCTACCTAATTTCAAATATAAGATATACACTTAAAAATCTTTAGGCTTCACTCTGAAACAAGTTCATGTAGCAACTTGAAGACATTGATACTTGACTTGTATATGACCCAAATACACAGATTTTTCACATCTGCTCTCAGATTGTCCTAATTTAATTCACCATGATACATGATTACGTGACATCATAGACAGTAACTCCAAAAAGGGAACGAAGAAACAGAATACTCTGGAACTTGGTATGTTTTTAGACTCAACCCTACATAACATATAACACTATGAAAGTTACATTTTTGGGCTATGAGTCAAATGGCCTTGTCTCGCACCCAGCTGTGCCCTCGGGTTACGTAGTCTTCCAGGTTTACAACATTATATTCACTTCTAAATGAATAAATTGGATTAGAGGATTTTTAAGATATCTTCTAGAAATATGTTGGTTCTAGATCATTGAGCCACTCAAAAGGTTATACCATCCTGTAATGTGAGGGCAGCAAAATATTGTTTTCCAGAATATTTTTCCTTTGCAATCTCCTTCCATCTTTCATGTCTTCCTTGGTTGTTAGGAACTTATTAGAGCTGGAGAGAGCTGAGCTGCCAGCTGTCTGAGTATTCAGTTAACACAATAACCCCAAATAAAGTAATAGTCAATTAATCACTCACTGCAATGATGTAAGCAGGAAGCTAAACTGGAGAAAGAGACCTCATGGAGGAGTTTGGACCCTGGTGCTGGTTGAGCATCACTTGAATCAACACAGATGTGATGGTCAACTTATGCCTTGGGAGTCCTGAAAAAAAAAATCCTGTTTTTTTATGGACCAGCAGCTAGTGGTAGGGGGTAAGATAGGACTAGGAGTGGAAAAGTACTGAGCACTGAGTCAGCATGGAGAAAATTGTCATCATGTTTCCCTGCTCCCCTAATAAGGAGGTCTTAGCAGAGGAAGGCCTCTGCTGAAAATTCCAGATAAAGAAGATCTGCATGAAGGTATATGATCTAGGAGTATAGATATCCATAAGAGTATGGCTGGCCAGGGGACTCAAGTCTTTGATTGTAACTCCCTGCAGAGACTGCAGTGCACTGGCTGTGCACCCAGTCTATTGTGGGGAGGGCAGCTCTTTCCTCTGAAGCTTACCAGGTGGTCTGTAATTGCCTGTGATGATGTCTGAAAAATCATACATAGGGTTTTGGTCTCAAGCCAGATTCCCCATTGATTATCATCTTACATGCCTACTTCTTCTTGAGTTTAAATTAGGGAGTAAAATCCAATAAAATGGGTCATTTATTTAGAACGTGGGGTCACATAGCCTTCTCAGGCAATTTAAATTTAGAGAGATTCTTGCCCTGTGCCTTGTTTGCAGTGTTATTGATACTAAAATGAACCCCACCCTCAAGCAACTTAGTGTCTATTGGAAGTCCAGGGGGAAAATATTCAAAACAATAACATTAATATTGTAAAGTGGTTTATATAATGCGGGCTTGCTCAAAACAGTTTACTTTCTACTCACAACTACTCTATTCCTTGTGCACTATGGTGGTCTTCCATTTTGTGGATGTGAGAACAGAAGTTAAGTAAGGTTAAGAGGAGTTAAGTAACCTGTCTGCTGGTAAATGGTAAAGCTGCTTAGAGAGGCAATGCATTTAACCACTGTGTTTTACTTCTATTTTAAAAAACCTGAAGGCTATAGATATGCATAGAATGTCAGGAGAGAACTGAAAAGAAGTCCTGGATTCATGCAGTAAGTTGCAGAGGGAGTGGTACCTACATGGGGTAGACCTGGGGTGTGTTGTGCAGGTGAAGGGCTGGAATTGAAAGGCACTTAAGGCGCAAGAGACGTGAGTAGGGGCATGAGTGCTGTGGACTAAATCAGGTTGGTGTTTCAGAAAATAAATATCAAGTGAGCAATAAAAAAGAGGCTGAGGATAGAGGGAAGGATTAGATAGAGACAAAGAGATGAATATATTGAGGCAACAATCAGAAGAACTTTACACATTATCTTACATAGTGTGTTAGTGAAATAGAACTAGGGAGAGAATAAACAAGAAAATTTCCTATATCATTTTCTATTTTGATTTAATGAATGATGCCTCAAATGGAGCTAAATAAGTATAGGAAGAGGAGCAGGTTCATGAAAAAGATATGTTTTGCTTCAGGGCACTTGAGTCTATTGAACTACCAAGTAAAGGTAATTTGCAAACAGTTATATATGTGCATCAATAATTGCAAGAGAAATGAAAGCATAGGGAGCATAGATTAATGAGAAGGGTGCCCCAAAGCGTGTTGTCCAAGAAAAGACTGGAGCAGAACAAGAGCCAGTGAGGTACAATTTCAGAGTATTAACAAGAAAGAACCGATGATGATGATGAGCCCATTGCAAAAGATAGATTAGTTAAGATCACAACTGAACTCATACTTGAAATGGATCCCTAATAAAGTCACAGGTTTATTTAGCAAGGGCAGGATTTGTAGTGTGGTGGAGCTGAAGCCAGATGGTGCTGGATTGAAGAGTGATAGAGCAGAAACTAGATAAGGAAAGGCATGAAATTTGACAGTAGCTAGAAGAGACAACAGAACTAAGGAAGGCTTTCTTTTTCTTTGTTGACTGTTTTTTTTAGCTGTATTTAAAAAATGGTTTAATTACTTAATGTATTTTTGATTGACACATGATGTACATATTTATTGGGTACAGTGAGATATTTCAATACATATGGACATTACATAATGATCAAGTCAGGGCATTTAGTATTCTATCATCTCAAAAATTCATTGTTGCTTTGTGGTGAGAGCATTCAAAATCCTCTCTTCTAGCCCTTTTGAAGTATGCCATAGAATATCGTTAGCTATAACATGCTTGTGTGTAATAGCATCCTAGAAATTATTCCTCCTAAATTACTGTGACTGTGTACACATTAACCAGTCTCTCCTTATACCTCCCTTCCTTCCCTTCCCCAGTCTCTAATTACCATTTTTCTGCTCTCCACATCTATGAGATCAGCTTTTTTGGATTCCGCATATAAGCAGTGGCGTGTGCTATTTGTCTTTCTGTGCCTGGCTCATTTCACTTAACGTAATATCCTCCAGGTTCATCTATGTGTCTGCTAATGACATGCTTTAATTCGATTTTTGGTGACTAAATAGTATTCTATTGTAAAAATTTACCACATTTTCTTTATTCATTCATCTGTTGATGGACACTTGGGTTGATTTCATATCTTAGTTCCTGTGAACAGTGCTGCCATAAACATGGGGCTGTAGATCGATATCTCTTCTAAATACTGATTTCATTTCTTTTGGGTATATACCCAGTTGTGTGACTGCTGGATCATATGGTAGTTCTATTTTTAATTTTTTGAGAAACCTCTGTAATTTTTTTGTCTGTGCTAATTTGCATTCTCACCAACTGTGTATGTAAGTTCCCCTTTCTCCACATCCTTGCCAGCATTTGTTACCTTTTGTCTTTTTGAGAGTAGCCATTCTACTGTGGTGAGGTGATGCTTTCTTGTAGTTTTGATTTTCATCTCCATAATGATTAGTGATGTTTAGCATTTCTTTATTTACCTGTAGATCATTGTATGTCTTCTTTTGAGAGATGTCTAGTCACAGCTTTTGACCATTTAAAATATTTTCGATCATTTTTAATTGGATTATTTTCTATTGAGTTGTTAAGGTTTCTTATATAGTCCAGACATTAACCTCTTGTCAGATCTATAGTTTGCACATATTTTCTCCCATTCTATAGATTTTCTCTTCATGTTGTTGATTGTTTCTTTTGTTGGGCAGAAGCTTTTTAGATTGAAGAAATACCATTTGTCTGTTTTTGATTTTGTTCCTGGACTTTTGAGTACTTGTTTGAAAAATCTTTCCCAGACCAATGCCATAGCGCATTTCCTTTATGTTTTCTTCCAGTAATTTTATAGTTTCAGGTTTTACATTGAAGTCTTTAATTCATTTTGAGTCGATTTTTTATAATGTTATTGATAGGAGTCTAGAATCATTCCTCTGCATGTGAATATCCAGTTTGTCCAACATCATCCAAGTTTGCAAGGAGAAAATAAAATAGTCTCTGTCCTCAGATGACATGCTCATACATATGACTCCACCAAAATAAGTTAAAATTAATAAATGAATTCAGTAAAGTGGCAAGATAAAAAATCAACATACAAAAATTAGTAGTGTTTTTATATGCCAATAGTGAAACATCTAAAAAAGAAATCAAGAAAATAATCTCACTTATAAAAACTACAAAAAATAAAATGCCTAAGAATAAATTTAACCAAGAAGATGAAAGAGCTCTGCAATGAAACTATAAAACACTGATGAAAGAAATTGAAGAAGACAAAAATAAATGGAAAGTCATCCCATTGTCATAGATTGGAAAAATTAATGTTGTTACAATGCCCATACTACCCAAAGTTATGTACACATTCAATGCAATCCATATCAAAATACCAATGACATACTTTACTAAAATAGAAAAAATAATTCTAAAATTCGTATGGAACCATAAGGGACTCTGAATAGACAAAGCAATCTTAGGCAAAAAAAAAAAAAAGAAAAAAAAAAAACTGAAGGTGTCACCACATCAAAATATACTACAAAGTTATAGCAACCAAAGCAGCATGTTACTGGCATAAAAGTAGACACAAGCACCAATGGAACAGATAGAGAATCCAGAAATAAACGTAAGTACTTACAGCCAAGTGATTTTTGACAAAAACTCCAAGAACACACATTGGGGAAAGGACACTCCAACAAACGAAGCTGGGATTTTTTTTGTTTTTGTTTTTAATGGGAGAGGTATGAAGCTTAAAAAGTGCCAGGAACGAGAGTGAGGTTGAAGATATATGGAAGAGAGAATAAAACTGGAGGCACAATTCTCACAGCAATCAAAAGATGAGATTCAGGCAGACATTGGCTTCAGAGCCAGCTGCACCACTTAATGGCTGTGTGACTTGCAATGTCACTTAATTTCTCAGAACTTCAGTTTCTCCATCTCTAAAATGTAACAATAGTATCAATCTTAGAGGGTTATTATGAGTATTAGGTATTATTATAAAATGTACGTAAAAATAAATTACAGTGAGAACTCATTATAATATTTGCTATTATTTTTATTTGGTGTAAATCAGTTGGCTTCATCAATAAAGAGGCCTAGAAATAAACACATAATTGAAGACTGGAATAAAGAGGAAATGACTGATATTTCTCTAGGCAATTTTGTAAATATGATACTCAGGGAGATGATGCCTTATCGTCTCAATGACTTTAGCAGTTATCCATTTTCTTAAAATAAAACTTAGTTAAAAGTGGAAAATCAAGACCCTTTCTGGCCTAAAATTATAAACAAACAGCTGGTCAGTTCCAAGGTGTTTGGCAGTAAGACTTTTTTTTTATCTTAAAACTGTAAACATCTCGTTGGCACAAAGATGTTTGGAATATTTTTAGTTATCTATTCTATGGCACATCTTATATTCTTCAGGTGAAGTGGAAATCTTATTTTACCTAAATATAAACCTTGAGTGGATTCTTTGCTTAATATAAGATGTGACAACCTAATATAGACCTTTAAATAACAATAGAAAACCCTCCTAACACTGATCTAACTTACAAAGAGAAATAAAACTATCACATCTGCTTCCTAAGCAGCCTTAAACGAAAAAGTATGATTTTAATAAATATGTATATTAAAACAGAAAGTATAAAGCACACTAGATATGATAGTTGATAACGTGGCATGCATATTATGAATCTTGCTATTTGAAATGTGTATGTATAGAAATATTTTTGTTAAATACACAACTAGTCACTGAAGGAAGTTTTTTGTTTGATGCTAAGTTGATTTAAATAGTTTTCAGTGTTCTTTTATTTAACCTGAAGAATTGGAATCAAATTACTTTATATTTCTCAATTTTGGTTATTATCCTTTCTCTCTGTGGGTTAGTCACAAATTTAGATATAACCAAAAGTAATTTATGATGAGCCTGAAAGGTATTAATAAAGCTAGGAAATGAAAAAGTAGTGTTCAGTAATAGGGCTAATTTTCCTGTGTATATTTTATAAATGGACATTTTCTTACAGACTGGGAGTGTATATAACTTACATGTTTTATTAAGAGTTCTATAAACAATTATATCACAAGTTTCTAAATGAAAACAGTCCTGTGCTTTCTTTTATTTAACCTGAACCACTCTTTTTTTTTTTTTTTTTTTTTGATGATTCCAGGCTAATTTAGCCTGATTTACTGTTCTTTTAAAAATATAAAGTTACAAATAATCTCAGTTGTGTTGAATGGAAGTTAAACTTAAGAGAGGGTAATAGCAAATCTAAGGATGCAAGTTCCTAAATTTTGTTCTATTTCGGTATGCCTTACTCACGCTGATTCATGAGCTCTTCTGTGAATCAACATCAGTCCTTATCCTTAATTGTATATAGTGTTCATTCTAATGTGATTTTCCACTACATTCAAAAGCTTCCTACTTTTAAAAGCTGGCAGCACGTGAACAATTTATACCTCTTTGGAACTCTTACCTCTTTGGAGGAACAACCAGCTTCTTTTGGGAAATGACTTTTAATTAATAAATAGAACACTTTTCATCACCTTCAATGGCATAGCTTTGAAGAGAATAGAAAACAAAGCTGGTGACACCTTCTTGGGTCTGGCATGCCAAGAGGGGCCTAGAATTAAACAAGTAGTGACAGTCACAGCAACTGCTAGCTCTTTTTAAGCATCTGTCTTTATTTCAGATTGACTCCTATGTTTTTCTCTTTCTTGACTACTTCTTTGTTGCGGGATAGAGTTCTCTTTGGTGTCAATGTACTTAATGTTTACTTTCAAAACAGAGAAAAGTGAATACGGGGTGATGACCTTCACTAAAGGCAAAGAAGCCTTATCAAACTTAGAGTGATATTGATAGTGATTGTCCAACACGCAGCCTTTCATGGGGAAAACAGTGATCGATTTTAATTGGTTACTTTTTAGTGTCAGCACTGTTTTACTATGCAGCTTTAAATACGCATATAAACCGCAGTGGTACTAAAACCTAAGAAGTCACATTCTGATCATTTCTTTTGTCAAAGAAGCATGATCTTAACTCATGAGTCACTGTTAAATGTAAGTGTAATGTGAAGGAAAAATGAAAATACATTATGAGTAGTTTTTTGCCAATTTGTATAATTTTTCAGTTAAGCAGTCATAAATCAAGGAATATTGTATTTTTTGAGGCTCATTAAAGAGACATTATACATCAGAATAGTGAAGTCGTCAGCATAATGAAATGATGAATGCCTGTAACTATCTGTATGTAAATGATGTGAGACAGATTCAGGGTGTTACAAAGGAGAATAACAATCTCTCTGACAGTTCCCTGTAGGTGCAGTTGCTGGATGCTGGTGACAGATGTTAAATGCAAACCTCTTCAATGGCAAGCACTTATTAGCACTCAGTGGAAACTCGCAATATAAAATAAGACAAATAGCAGATTATATCATTTTAAATAAATTTGTTCAGTAAGGTGTGTTATTGCATTTTAAGATTCTTCTTTATTAACAAAGGCAGTATTCTAAATTAAAGAAAACAGAATAGAAAAGAAAATGGCTATTTGAAAACCAGTATATAGAATATGAGTGTGTGTGTGTGTGTGTGTATGTGTTTGTGTGTGTATAGTTATGCTTGACCATTTCTTTAACTAAAATAAGAAATTTTCCATATAGTAGGTAGTGTGTCGAACTTAACTAATTTAGGTTTATTTTAAAACTCACCCATTATCTTATCAAAGAAACACATCTATCTCCCTTATGTATCTCACAGATGGATTCCTTTCCATACACACTTAAATGGCAAGCATCTTAATATGCATACCACTTTGTCAACCTTCATATCTGGTGTGGTTTATTATTTCCATTTTAATCTTCATACTTATTAAAATCATGTTTCTTTTGTTCGACACTGCTCAATTTGTTGATTAACCAGGGCCTTAAATCCTACATTTCAGATGCTTTATTCCATTCACCAAAGAGGAGAAGGCAACAGATCTAGTAATTTTCTAGAGCTTCTCATTTATCTATGAATTTCTCAGCACCTGGTACAAGTGCCAAATACATAAATGATTATTAAATGAAGAAGAAATGGAGGGAGAGAGAGAGAAGATGGTTTTTAGTCCAACATGGGTCACTGATGGGTCTGTGGCATTGGCTAAGTCACTTAAGTTCTGTCTACATGATATATTATCTGTTATCTATTATCTATTATTATTAATTTTAAAAACAATGTTGACTTAAGCACTTTGGGAACAGAGAAAGCACTTTGGATTATATAACCAAATGTATGTGGATAAAGTCATATTAATATAATTATTCATATGCTTTGTGCCTTGAGGACTGTAGTTAATTATTTTTAATAACATTTTCCCATAACTGGGCCATAGTATTTTGGCATTTTATAATGTAAACGTGAATTGCTAGCAAGAGAAATGATAAAATTTCTCTCCATATTTATGTCAATATGATGGTTTTTTTTCTCTATCTTGAGGTATATATTGGGGGACGGGGTTAGGATAGTATTTGACTAAAGAGTTTTTCTTAAATAATTAATATCTATTTTACTTTTTTGCAATAGGAATGCAGCAAATTATTGGCATGTGAAAGTTTTATGAACAAATAAATGTATATGTTTTGTTATAATATGAAAAGTCTATGAGAACATAATGGTCCAAGTTTTCAATAGTCTGAATATAAATATTAATGACTTAAATTGTTAGTGGCTCTTTGGATATGTACTGTGATAATAAAGTGATTCACCAATTCGTTGAATATATTTTAAAATCTATATATTAAAAAATAGATTTGAAAGTACCAAATTGCAACTTAAAAATTCCTAATAATGGATAGCTATTATGTAACTAAACTGAAATTAAAATATTTTAGAGGTAATACACCATATTTTATTTTTCCCCTTCACATTCATCACCCACATCTCTTCTGATCATTTTGCAGTTTTACTCACTTACAAATAAAAGAACACTTATGATTTTATGTTCCAATTCTTTAACTTACTACACATGAACACACACAACACACAACCTGAGAGCATCTATTACACATAACAATTTTATAATATGATTCACTTTTTTCTATGACTGAATACTATGTGAGAACCATATTTTTGTTATCTTTAATATAAAATGCCACCACATGCTATTATAATTACATGTGTGTATTTTTAACAACAAGCATCTATATAATTTTTATGTTTAAAAAAGTACTTCTAAATCTATTATTGCATTTAATCAGTGACAAGATTTGAATCTTTGTCTTTTAATTCTAAGTTCATTGGTCTGTCTGACATATCATATTGCTTCTTGACAAAACTCTTGAATTGAAATCCAACAAAATACACCCTGCCAGTTGTAATGCACTTTGCCAAACCAAATAAGAAAACTTATTTAATGGAATGTTTTGTCACTTATGTCACATTTACTTACTTTATGCTCTAAAGGTAGTTAAGTGATGAATAAACATTCAAGGGGATTGATTGGGTGAGAATAACATGTCCACCATTCTACAGCACAGAGTAATTACTCCAAGAAGCATTTCTCAAAACCAAAGACATCCTACATAATTCTTCTTCCTTAAATTATGTATTATTTGTAAATGTCACCGAGCTATCATTTACTTCCAATTGAAATAAATGACTCCTGCATTTTTAATATTATAATTAAACTTATAAGTATTCAGCTTTATTTCAAACTCCAGATACACACACAAAAACACACACATATGCATACACACACATATCTACGTTTATGTATACATACATAGGGTATATGCTACATATACCTGTGTCATGCATGGCTTAGCTATTGGAATATATTCTGAGAAATGTGTCATTAGGTGATTTCATCATTGTACCAACATGATAGTGTGTACTTACACAAACCAAGCTGATACTGCTTACTACACACCTTGGCTCTATGGCATAACCTATTGCTCCGAGGCTACAAACCTGTAAAACATGTTATTGTACAGAAACATGTAGGCAATTGTAGCACAATGGTAAGTATCTGTATATGTAACACATCTAAACAAAGAAAAGGTTTGTTAAAAATATGGTATAAAAGATCAAAAATTGTACACTTGTATAGGTCACTCACCATGAATAGATTTCACAGGACCAGAAGTTGCTCTGGGTGAGTTGGTGAGTGAGTGTGAGTGAATGTAAAGGCCTAGGACATTACAGTACACTAATGTAGATTTTATAGAATATAGTACACTTAGGCTACACTAAATTTATAAATAAAAATGTATTTCTGTTTAATAATAAATTACCCTTAGCTTACTGTAACTTTTTTATTAATTTTTTAATGTTTTGAACTTTGTGACTCTTTTGTGAAACACTTAGTTTAAAACACAAACACAACATTTTGTACAGCTGTATAAAAATATTTTTCTTTTTGTATCTTTGTTGTATAGACTTTATTCCATGTAATTTTTTTTTTTTACATTTTAAACTTCTTTGGTAAAACTAAGACACAAAAACACACACTAGCCTTTGCCTACACAGGGTCAGGAATGTCCATATCACTTCACCTCCACATCTTGCCCAACTGGAGGGCCTTCAGGGGCCATAACAAGCATAGAGCTGTCATCTCTGATGATAACAATGCTGGAATACCTCCTGAAGGAACTTCCTGAGTCTGTTTTACAGTTAACTTTTTTTTTAAATAAGTAGAAATACACACTACAATAATGATAAAAATTATAACATATAAAATACATAAACCAGCAACATAGCTGTTGACTATCATGAAGTATTCTGAACTGAACATTGTTGTATTCACTGTACTTTTCCATGACTGGCAGTGTAGTAGGTTTGTATAAACCAGAATCACCACAAACACTTGAGTAATGCATTGAGTTATGATATTATAATGGCTACCATGTCACCAGGCAATAGAATTTTGCAGTTTCATTGTAATTTCAGGGGACCATCATCGTGTTTGTGGTCCATCATTGACCGAAATGTCATTATGTGGCACATGACTGTATGTCTGTATATATATGTATATACACCCTTAATAAACTTCAGTTTTATTAATCAGAATCTAGAGAACTCAAGCAGATTAAGGAACATTGAACTAAGAAGCACCAAAACCCATGCATAAATAGCATGAGGATTATCTAGAGAGATGAGAGCTTTGGAGCCAATACGGTATTAATACCAGGAATCAGTTAATCATATTGGGGCATTTAGAGTTATGGAATGCTAGAAATAGTAACAACCTTAGAAATTATCCAGTCTTAGGATGGCAATCTTTGAAAAATTTAAGTTGAAAAATGCAATGCTGTCTAAAGCTGATTGGAACTTGCTGCCTGGAACACTGTGCAGGAAAAGGAATATGTGAAGCATGTCATAATCAGTCAGTTAGTTCTATCTGCCACAGATGAGGCATGAGAACTAGTAGCATACTTACTGAGGCTCAAACACTATAAATCACTTTCCCAAAGTTACACAGACAGTTAACTCTGAATCCTTGACTATAAACAAGGCCTCTGACTCATAGTCCAGTGCTATTTGCTCTGCTCTACTGGCAAAGGAGAAACACTCCCAATCTCCCAGTAGGCTTTCTCAGAGAAAGTCCACAGGGGCATGAAGGAAAACTATACAGGGGATGGTTGCCGCTCTGGATTGATGCCCTCGTGGGTTAAATTTATTGAGACTTGCTTATTCTTCTCATGGCATAATTGACTTAATTATATTCTGAAGCACTGTAACTTGGGTGTGTTTTCTTTTATTAATTATATTTTATATTATTATTTTTTTTCCTTAGAATTCCTAAGTAGATGATGCCTGTGCTTCTGTAGGCTAAATAAATGGGTTCTGTACTTTGAATATATTAATATATTAGTATTCTCTAATATATGTTTTGAACATATATGAATATATGTTCAAAATAAAACATAAAAACTAGATGAAAGCATTTGCATTTCAGTGATACTTAATCAAAATTTTGAGATATATGTTTACATTGATTAACTTATAATAGAGGGCTAACACAGTTTAGCAAAATACAGACCGTTCCCAAGCTACCTTCACTCCACCCTTCTCCACCTTTTTATAGAATCTTGTCTAGCTGATTAATATAACAGAGCACTTCAGCTTTGGTGAAATACACTTATTCAATTTCACCGAAGATTATAGGTTTCAAATAATAAAATTGGATTTTATTGAGGATTGAAGTGTGTAAATAGAACATTTGATTGAATTTAATAAAATGGTATCCTGCTGATGAAGGCAAGTCATTTCCCCTAGTTTTAACTTGATTACAAAGACAAGAAGTTTTATGAGCTGCTGTGAATGGAAAATTTCTTTCTCTCTACAGAAAAAGACTATATCAAAACTAAGAAAAAATGAGTAGTACAATTTAGTATTTTTAAATTAATTTTGTTACTAATTTTGATTTTTTTTAATTTCATGAAACTACTTTCTAATCTGCATTTGTGGCTACTCAATCAGTTAATTAAACATGCATATTATTAAAAAAAAGGAACTCCAGCAAGTAAGTTTTTTTCTGTAGCTTTGAATAGCTTAATATTGTACCATTCTTCATCTGATCTATGATCATTAGTCCCTTTTTTACAAAAGGAATCAGTATATGGTAACTCATGATATTTAAATGTTTGACTATCTTTAGCCAATTCTGAAGTTTCATAAAAAGAAACACAAGGTGCATGTTTTTGCTACTTTCCAACAAATAGAATGTGAAATCTGAAAATGGCTTGCAATAATTTTGAGAAAACCAAAACCACATACCAAATGTTAAAGCTTCCTAGGTATATTGAAAAGATCATATTTAATTATAAAAAATACCATTTTTTCTTATGGTAATAGCAATGATTAATTTTGGTATTAAAGTTTTATTTCTCAAATGTTTTACATTTCAACATAATAAAGTAAAAATATTATTTACCAAAATATAGCATTTTCTTAATTAATGTCAATATTTTAATTGTTTTGTTAGGCTAGCGAGCCAACTGAAAATACTTTTTTTTAACCACTTAATCATGGCAGAACTTTTTAAAATTTATTAGGTTATTTTTAAAAAGACTATTTGGAGGCTAAAAGATGGATAGAATTTGCAGTGAGTCATCATTATAAATGTAGAGTGAGTGTTAAGATATGCCAGAATTGAAGACATTATGTTGACTGAAAATTGATAATAAATAATTTCAGAGCAAGATGAATTTTAATGTGGCCTAAAATAGTACTTTGAGTTGATTTAGAATATTATCTTTAAGCAGTTGATTCAAAGTATCTGCAGGGGAAATATAGAATCTAAATATAGTAGTTCTTTTTCAATTATTTGAGGGTTTTTACAAAGAAGTAAATGGTAAACAGTTAATGAAAGGACAGTACATTAAAGGAAAATGAATATGTGTGTGTTGCTAGTGGTTGTGTGTTTTTAATGTTTTGGAGAAAAGTCCATTTTACAGAGAAAAGGAAAGGTTACTAGAGAGGTAAAACTGGATGAGAAAGCAAAGATAAGAATAATCAGACAGATACAACCCCTAGATGTACATGGAAGTAAAAGCAGTTTAGAAATAGAAAAAAAGGAAGGAGACAGCAGAAATTAAATAAGTGCTGTATAGGAGAGTGTATGTGGTTCAGACTCTTTGCTATTATTTAGGAGAGCTGTTGCCTGTAGAGATTAGAAACACCATTCAAAAACAGAAAAATGTATAACAACTGAGGAATGATGGTTTGAGACTATCACTGAGATGAGAAGAAAGACCTCTAATTAGAATAAAAGTAGTTATATCCTGAAAAGTCCAAAGTACAGGAGACCGCTTCATCAAACAAATTAAATAAATTAGTGGGAAAATGTGTTCTGACGAACTTCCAGAAGCATTTTTAACAGGCATAAATGTTGTGGTTTGAGAGGAACTGCAAAGAAAGAAGGATGAGACATCTCTTCATAGAAAAGATGCACTGAAATAGATGGGCTAAGTGTAGAAATATGATTATAATTTAGGTGGGTGCCTAGAAAAGGCAATATAAGGGGATCAGTGTTCAAAGAGAAACATGTATGACAACAGTTGATGAGCATATTACACCATATGTAGCAGGACTTTTCACTTTGAGAGGCAGCTCTAGTAGCACCTTGGGTAATATGTGTGAATTTTAGAAAGACATACGGAAGAAAACAGACCACAAAAAGTGTCTGTTATTCATTGAATGCTTCACATATGCCTAAAGAATTGTTCAGTAGTTTATGTATCATTTTCAACTCATATATGTGGTTACATAAACTCACTCTACTATAGGAGTCTCATTTAATTATTAGAAAAAACTATAATAACAAAATGATTAGTTATATTAGGAGATGGTAATATTCATTCATAAGCTCAAAATTCTACTCTACAGTGTCTTTTCAGTTCTGAAAATTATTTGAAGAAAAAAATTTTGCTTATATGAATAATTTTGACGCAAACGATCCCCATCCCATTCCTAGTGTGAGCCCCATTTTTATTCAGTGTGAAAAGAAGATGACCAAACATCTGTCATAACATCATATTACCTGGTAACATATTGAGATTATACTCAGAATTGACCTGTGAATCTTATTACCTGTGGGAAGATTAAAATCTTCACTGAATGATCAAGGCAGAAATCAGAAGCTGAGAATGAAAATACAATAAATCTATTTTGAAAATAAATGAAACCCAATCTAACATTATAACAATTATTATTTTCCCCAACACTGTCAGATTTTATAAATAAGAATCTCAAAAAAAGTCTGCATCCTCCCCTGATGCAAGAGTGGTTGGTTTTTATCTGCCCCACACAAATTCGATATAGGTAACAAAGAGCCTGTCGTTTCCCCTGGCATGTGTTCCAAAGTCGGACAAAAAGAAAGCAAATGCCTGCATATGAGGTAGCAAATGAAAAGCCATTCTTATATTCTGTTCTACAGCATAAGTACCGAATGAAAATAATTTTGAAAAATATGAAACACTAAATAGGTGTGTATAGCAGTAATACTGGTAGTAGTCACAGCAGCCACAGCAGTAATAGTAAATATAAATTTTATACTGTAAGATATTTGTGAAAAAAGGTAAAAATTAATGTCAAATCAAAACCATTTGTAAAGAGAGGTTTGAGATTTAAATTTTTACTTGTTTATAAACTCTTTAAAGCCAAAAATAGCATTAAAGAATGATTAATTATATTACATTGAAATAGAACATTAAAACATAGGTGTATTTTTCTCCTGAAATATATCTACTTCTATGTGAAGTTGATATGAAGTCAAGAATGTGTATGTTTAACTAGTTTTAGAATAACAATCAATGAAACAGTAAAAGCAGTAGACAATTCATATTACAGAACTGTAATCTGAAATTCTCATTGCAGGTCCTGTAGTACATTTACACACGTTACCTGTAGGAAAATTGAGCGGTGCAGCAATGCTAACTGATTTATACAAGGTCTCTTGTCAGGCAGAATAGAATTATTCTCATTCTCCTTTCGGACATGTAATATTGTATAATCATCTCTTTTAATGACTTAATCTCAAGGTATTTATGAACAACATACTCTTATTTCAATCTAGGCATTATTTTTGTATAGTCGGTTCCATATTATTGCCATAACTGTCATTATAACCAACTCTTAACTTCATTTAAGTGAAATAAAATTGGATGTTATGATTTTAGTTACTCAAAAAGATACAATAGAACATACAATAAAGGTTGCAATAATTGTCACTTAACAAGGCTTACAAGCATTATCTGTGATTTGTATGAATTATGCTAATAGAATGCCACAAGGTTAAAGAAGCTTACGATGGACATTAGAGAATAATAGTTACGTTCCACCTTATTTGGCAGGACTGAGTAAAGAATGTGAATTGTCAACATTTTGAGAAACATTAGTGGGACACTGTAATTCAAAGAGAAAAGAATAAGGGATTGAGTAGGCAGGCTGTAGTAGCGTCAAAGAAAAACTCTGAGCAACATTAGCCCTGTATATTTCTGCAACAGAGAGTTGCCCAGGGTAAAAGCAGGAAGCACCAGCAAATACACTCTCATTCAGTCAAAGTGCCAATTCGATAGAGGAAGTCACCATGGGCTAAATGGTCCTTAGTGTAGACAGACAGTAGGAGAGAGAGCAGACGTCAGCTGTCTTAGCTGGGACTACTTCAGCAGGAGACCTCACTCCCTTTCCCTCACTTCTATGTTTTCAGGCTGCAGAAAATATACAATGCACATGTCTCTCTCACTGAAACTCTGTGGTGAAGTCAGTACAAAAAGGGGGCAATGCAACTAGCATATGCTTTATCAGAGCAAATAGAAGTTATGGGCAAAGATGCCCAAGTTAGCAGGTAAGACTGGCCAGAGCCAAAAACCAAATTAACAGGAGAAGGGAAAATCTTGAGCTAATTACGGAGGTTAATGAAGGGAATCTAATAGTTCATCCATTAAGAGAAAAAATGATCAATACAGAAGACAGATAAAAGAAGACCAATAAATGAAATACAAAAATTAGATAAAATAGAAGGAAAAATCCTGAAATAAACAAAGAACTGTATCTGCAGCTCAGATAAGCATATGAAATACTAGAAACTGGAATGAGGTCATAAGACTGAGGAGCAGAGGTTGAATGAGAAACTAACAAACCAAATGAACATAGTATAGGCTGACATGTGTGGGAAAAGAGTGTGGGCAAGATAAGCATCAAGATTTCTGACCAGTTGCTTTCAGGACTCTGGTGAGACAGGTTAGTTTAAAGGATTTTTAGGACATTTTACTGTGTGTCATAAAATGCAGTCGTCCTCTGACATCTCTTTCAGAAACAGCAAAAAATCATGTAACTCCTTTTTGATGTTTTATTTGTGTGGCGCGAGAAAATACCTATTGAACGGAAAACATGCGGAATAAGGGAAAAACCTGTTACTGTTGAACTTTGGTAGCACATTGGGGTTTCTGCTTGGATTTTGGACTGAAAATGAAATGTAGATTAAATTGTTATTTAGAAATGATCCTTGAGAACACCTTTACGGTGTCCTCTATCAGAGTATTGTCATGAAAGGGAGTAGGGAGCTACTCAGAAGAAATCATGATGAATTTGGGGATCACTACTCTCATTAGGAGGGAAATAGTGGAAACTAAAAAAGTTACCAAAATCATAATTGTTGTACTAATGCATGATTTATAAATGGGTTACAAATGGAGAATAAATATAGGAAGGATTTCATTACTTAAAAAACTGAAAAAGCCTTAGAAACTCCCTCATGATGGTACAGATTATAAATTATTATTTTTCATCTGACATTGACAAACACCTAAGTGTTTTAATATATTGGACCTGTTCGTGGCATTTACTTTCCTTAACGAACTGATACTAGAAGCCCTGAGGACTGGGTGCCCATCATGGCACAAGAGATGAAACTGAATAAAGAACTTCTGATAGAGATGAACTGCTAGGACTAAGTATTAGTATTGAACAATATTGCCAGAGACAGAAGTTGGAGCTATAATTTACACAGTTCACAGATATGTGGCAGAGGGCTGAAAAATGCTAAAGATGAAGTGATAGACAGATGAACCCAGAATTATACAATTTTTTATCAGTCTTAAAGACTTCTGTTTTCCTGACAGAGTACCTGATTATCTAGAGTTGCTTAGAATTTGCTTTCCAGTTTATTTACTTCTTCATCTCTAATCAAATTGATGATGGCAAAAGGCGGTAATCATGGAGTCATGGGGGCCATCATCCATCCACGGAAGAGGGAAGCCCATTTTTCATAGAATAGGGATCACTGAGTTATGTAGGGAGACCAAAAAGAATATACTATATTCTCATATTTTACTAAGATGTTAAAATTTATTTTTCATTCTTGTCATTAACTTTGAAAGAGCTAGAATCCCATAGAACCCTGGGAGTCTCAATTTCCGTTACCCAGTAGTGTTCTAATTATCACCTAAACAGGCAATCTTTGGTCAGATTTTGCATTTGAATGAACGTCCTTATGGCATTTCAAAATGTAACTTTGAGCATATTTTATTATAACGGTATTTTATATATCATCAGATATTAAAATAGCTATGTATTATTTTATTAATATGCCAATAATACCTTAGCAAATGGCATACAAGGTATCATGCCAATCTTGCACATGGTTGTATTTTCAGCACTAACACAGGACTTGGAAAATATAGTGAATATAAATTTTTTACATAAATGAATGAAGCAAGTGGCATTTGCTGCATGATCACAATAAAAATTTATCAGAAAATAGATTAAAAACTCCATATAAAATCTTTTTTTTTTTTTTTTTTTTTTTTTTGCCACAGAGTCTCGCTCTGTCTCCCGGACTGGAGTGCAGTGGTGCGATCTCGGCTCACTGCAAGCTCTGCCTCCCTGGTTCACGCCATTCTCCTGCCTCAGCCTCTCGAGTAGCTGGGACTACAGGGGCCATCACACCCAGCTAATTTTTTGTACTTTTAGTAGAGATGGGGTTTCACCATGTTAGCCAGGATGGTCTTGTTCTCCTGACCTCGCGATCTGCCCTCCTCGGCCTCCCAAAGTGCTGGGATTACAGGCGTGAGCCACAGCGCCCGGCCAAAATCTTAAACTAAATTTTAGAACTCAACACACTCATAAATTTGGACAGTATCTAAATGTAATATGTTAAACTATTACATATAATATATCTTGGCCATTTTCTTTCCTGAATAGTTATCATATATGCTTTATTAATATACCTAAGATCGTTTTACTTTATTTTTGTAATCAAATAGCCAGACTTAAAGGAGACTAAGAAATTTTAAAAGTTAAAAAATATGAATTAAGCAGGTAGAGCTATCATCAAGATGTAAAATTCATTTTAATATAATAGAATTATTTCAATTTGTATTCCACTTGCTAATAAATTTACATTTGATAAGTTAAAGAGTTAATGAAACTCACTGGTATTTATTATCTTTTTGATAGCTCTAGGATAATATGTTTTTATTTGCACTCAGAAGCACATCCTGCATTCATTTTTATTAGTTTTAATATATGGATAGACTGCAGTAAATATTATTACTAGAAATCTGTGGCTTGCTTGCTTTCTCCAAAGGATCTGGAAACTAATAGATTTCTCACATGCATTTAAAAGATTGCTGAACAAGAATTAACGTTAACTTTTGTGTCTGCTTGTGGGCTAAACAACAATTATTGCACATTTTTATTTCTGGAATTCATCATTTCTCATCTTTTATTTGTTATTATGCTTAAAACCTGACCCCTGTTTTAGGACAGAAACTACCTCTTGGGCGTCATCAGTGATTTCATATAATCTACCTTTACCCCATGTTCATGCTGTGGGATCTTTCTACTTGGCCAGAATTTCTATTAGAAATCTGATAGTTAACAGGCATTGGCATTCTAAGGAATAAAGAAAGATGACTGTCCTTCTTGAAGAGTACATCTGTTATTAGTGGTAGGGATAATGTTCCTTAATTGTACTTCTGTTGGGTTACTAACAATGTCTACATAGATTAGAGATCTCAGAGTCAAGATGTCCAAAATCAAAGACCTCTTTTCCAATTATTTTTCTTCCTTCTTTCCTCATTGTATTGATTAATACCACCGTTCCTTGCATTCCTGGGCAAAAGTACAATGAGAATAGAGACATCCTGTTCTGCAGACGGAGAATGGTGTCAGAACAAGATGAAGTTCCTAAGATACAGACACCATAATATAATATTGTAAAAGTCACAAAATCCTAAGTAGAAAAACAGAACAAAAAAGGGTAGACAGGAGAAAGAAAGTTCTAATTGAAGGGCATGGTGATACATATACATTTATGAAGAATAACTTTTAAATTCCAAATATAGTAAAAATCAAACACATCCATACAACAATCATGTGGGAAGAATACTTGTAGAATGTTGCTATTCTATCCTTTTTGCAGATCTCATTGCAGATGAAGGAATTATTGTCCAAAGTGTTTTGTTTTCCTGAATGGTTTTCCTGTCATTTATGAGGAGACTTTAAGCTATAATGCTGAGTTTTATACACTATGCTGCAGAGCATTTCTTTAGCAAGAACCGGAATTAGAGTGAGAGCAGGAAAGAAGTAAAATAAAAACATTAAATAAATGTAATATGCAGAGGCAGAGAAGCTTTGGGATTCGTGGAAAATAATACAAAGAAATTCATGAAATAACATTTACAAATGATGAGATAGAAGGAGAGGAAAAGTTAGGGTATTGTTTTAATTTAAATTGTTTTAATTTAAAAGACAGTCTTAACCTGAAGCAAACACTTCAGTGCTGAAAAGCACAACCAATTATCTTTTTTTGAAAGCAGTTTCCACCTGAAAGGGATGGAAATTAGGAAGTGAAGAGATGAAAAAGAGACTGCCTTGGGAATATTGTCTCAGAATGCATGTATTTAACTCTCTAGTAAATCTGGCAGTGAACCACCATCTGGTGACCACAGTGATGAAAAATATTCCTATTGGTTAAGAACAATGTCTGAACTTTAGAAAAGAGCATTCATATTTTATAGAGATCTATGTATATCCATTACATAATCATTTTCTAGTCAAAAAGACAATGGTCTTGCTTTAAGAGGACCCAGCGAATATTTCAAATATATGTGATATTTTGTGATAATATGCAAGAGCATTCATTATAAAACATTTTAATAATTTGAAGGGAAAATCCTAAAGGCTGTAATGTTATTATAGAACTCATAATACATATGCATAACATAAACTAAATATTGGTCAAAGCTATATAAGCAGATACAGATATGTGGTTTTTGAAATAAGTGTCTACATATTTATATTCTTGAACTTCCTCAATCTCTTTTGAAGATATATCTAGATTTAAAAAAATGAAATAAAATTACTCCCATAAATTCTCCAAGTCAGACTCAGAGCACACAAGGGCACTCCAGCTATGAAAGTTTGATAGATTTTATACTGAAGAAGTATAAAATGTAATTGAGTACACTTTCTTTTTTCTTTCAGCAGAAAGCATATTTATACCACTTAAACTACTCTTATCTAGCCTTAAGCATCTTATAAATAAGAAATTATTCAGAGGGAAAATTTATATTTACCCTTAGAATATGCAAGAACTATGGGTTAGTCAATGTAAAATTAATGAGAAGCTCACAAAGTATCACAGACATGTAATATGTCTACAGTGCATATATGGCAGTGGTTATGAATCCTGGCTGCAAGGTACAATAGATTCTGCAAGGTTTTAATTTTTTTATTTTATTTTTTGCTACATTATATTTGTCCATATTTATGGGGTATATGTGAAATGTTATTACATGCATAGAATGTGTGATGATCAAGTCAGTGTAGTTAGGGTATCCTTTACGCCAGTATTATCCTGTCTAAGCGTTGGGTACATTTCAAGTCCTAGTTTAAAAAAATCAGGAACTATTCCAGACTTACTACCTCATCATCTCCAGGAAAGTGACCTAGAAGTCTTTATTTTGAAAGTATTTTATTATTGATTGTCCTGTTTGGTCAGTATTGAGAAACTATGGATATATGCAGTTTTTCTTAATAATCGTGGAAATTTGGAGCTGATAGGGATCTAAGATTCATCTAGTCCAATCTGCACATCAGTATCTAAATCAGATACATTTGGCTGTGGTTTTGATTAGTGTATATAATGAAATCAATATATATGTATTTATATGCATAAGAGCTAACTTTTACATAGGTATCTATTCCTGTGTATGTGTTTGTGCTCTCACATACACAGGCACACATACACACGACTCCCTCACTGGAAAACTTCACTGTGGTAGGTGACAGAGGGAACACATGTGAATGTGAGATTTATTGTGCTTAAATAATTTGCAGTCTGAAAAACATTTACACCCCTAATCACAGTTCAAGGCAATACTACAGATAAAGTGCTGTCGTAGTGCAAAAGAAAAAAATATTAATTCCCAGTCATATAGAAAGGATTAGATTTATCTGATGTTATCTTTCAAGAAGGAAAAGGCATTTGAATCTGGAAAAGATGAGACAGGAAACAAAAAATATTGAGGGAGCAGAATGTGCCAAGTCACAGGAACAAAATATTAGTGCTTTATTCAGCAAGTATATGCAATGAACATCATTCGTAGAAATGAAAATTTATCAACTTATTACTTATGATTATCTCTTATTAGCTTATTAATCAACTTATTTCCCATTCATTTTTTTCCTTCATTCAACAACTGTGGAATGCTGAAGATGGATTTGTCCTTGTCATAAAGGATATCCATGTATAAAAAAGAAAGAAGGCTTTGGGAGCTGAGGTGGGAGGATCATTTGAAGCCAGGCATTCCAGGCCAGCCTGAGCAACAGAGTGAAATCTCATAATCTTCAAAAACAGAAAAATCAGCTGGGAGTGGGGTATGCCACTGCACATCAACCTGAGTGACAGAGCGAGATTCTGTTCCTAAAACAATAAAATTAAAATTAAAAAATTAAAAATAAATAAAATTTTAAAAAAGCAAGAAAGAGCTGGCCATGTGCAAATGGAATTTGATTTACTGTTAAATATTTTGTTACCCAATTTTAAAAAAACTACATTGTATTCCTAAGATAATTCCCATTATTTGGGATATTTTACATTCAAAATTATGGAAATATTTTTAAAGCCATTTTCCAGACAGTCAATGGTAATAACATGAATTTGAGTTAGCAGCATGAGTTTTAAAAAGATTATAGCATCTTTGACTTTATTCATAGAAATTTGTAGCACTTTCTGTAAGTTTGATAATTGTCCTCTTCAGTGCTTAGTTTTAAACTTAGTACTTGTTGACATGAAAGAAATAATTGTGCTAATATCACTGGATATTAAACTACTCAAATAGAATCATGGAGCTGGAAATGGGTCGTTAGTTCATTTTTTTTGGGGGGGGGGGCAGATGAGAATATATCTTATTCTGAAATTTTGTCTCAGATATGCTAGGTGGCTTATATTTGTTGTGTTTTTGTTCTATTATGAAATGTCTATTCATTCTTCAGTTCTTACTGCATTAATCTCAAGGAGTAAGTCCTTTCTGTATCAATTGCTTCCTCAAAAACCTGAAATAGTATCTGATGCCCAGAGATTCAAGCCACAATAGCACATAGGGAATGCTTTCAGTAGTTGGTCTTGTAATAAACTACATTGTTCTTGCTCGTATGCATGATCCAGTTCCCCATCTTTGTGCCTCTTTCTGCTTTACTTTTCCCATTTTATAGCGCTCTTTCATTGATAGGTATTCAACTTCTGTTTCTTTTTTTTCTTTTAATTTTTCTTTTTCTTTTTCTTTTTTTTTGAGACGGAGTCTTGCTCTGTTGCCCAGGCTCGAGTGCAGTGGCGCGATCTCGACTCACTGCAAGCTCCGCCTCCCTGATTCATGCCGTTCTCCTGCCTCAGCCTCTCGAGTAGCTGGGACTACAGGCGCCCGCCACCACGCTCAGCTAATTTTTTGTATTTTTAGTAGAGACAGGGTTTCACCGTGTTAGCCAGGATGGTCTCGATCTCCTGACCTCGTGATCCACCCCCCTCGGCCTCCCAAAGTGCTGGGATTACAGGCGTGAGCCACAGCCCCTGGCCTCAACTGCTGTTTCTTTCAAAGGTGAGCATGAATGTGCTTTCTCTAAAATTTTGCCTGTTTCAACATACCAGAATCTCTTCCTGTTCTCAATACAAATGGTTCTTTTTCCATTTCTCCTATGAATCTTTGCTATTTATCTTCATCCACACACATAAAAATATACACATATATATTTTCCTCATTGGAGTACAGTGTATATTCTCCTTGCTGAGGGTAGAATTCTCATTTTAGTTATTCTGTTTTACACATCACCTAAAAGAGAGAGTTGCACACATAATTGTACCTTACTGTGTACTTACCAAAGGTTTTTCCCTAATTAAGAATCCCTCAATTTAAACTATATGCTGGTTATCTTTGCTGGGAAGAGTAAGGAAAAGGGATAGAGTTCTATGCTCTCAATCTGTTTCCTCCATGTGAAATTTCAAACTGAGGACAGTAATAATGTATAGATTATATAGTATATTCTAGGACACCTTTTGTTATCTATTTTAATGATTCTTCAGTAAATATTGTCATTAATCGCATATTACCTGAATTCCTTGAATGCAGTTATGGTTTCTAAATCTCGCATCCTGTTTCTTTTTTAAGTAGAAAAAGTGCACCTTCCTTCTATGTATGTAGCATGGACTTTGAGGTTTGTAGCAAGGTAAACCCCAACTCCATGAAAGATGGAATTTCTTAGAAAAATTACAGCTAATAATGCATGAAGTTCTAATATCTCAACACAGATCCCACATGTTCTTTTCTTTCATTAATCATTATCTTGTGTGAACTTGGGAAACGTGGGATAACATAATTTATCCCCCCTCTGACATCCATCCTTATTTTCTGACCATGAAAATGAAGAGATTGGGTAGGTGATTTCTTAGGCATCTTCCATTTCTGAAATTCTAAAAGTCTAATTTTGTTTTTAAGTAACTGCATTGGCGTTAAGATTATTATCTATAGAAACTCAGTGACTTCAATTTCAGAGCATGGTTTGCAATTTTTCTCTTCACATTTGGCAATAATTATTTTTCTTTTTTATTTCAGATGCATACAATTGATTTAATTCAGATCTTGTTTTTAATATGTATTCACCATTGGACAATGCATGGTTTCTTTAAATTTAATTCAGTTGGAACCTGACGGATGACTTCGGCCTGCTGGCATGCTCTTTTCGTTTTACCGTTCCGTGCGTGCTCCATTCCCCATAGCCATCATCTTGATTTTGTGTTTATCAATCCATTGCTTTTTTATAATTTTCCTGGATATACATATTTATCTAAAAAATATAACGTTTACATTTGCTTATTTTGAAATTTATTAGAAAATATTATTCTGCATGTAAACTTTAGAGTCATTTTTTTGCCCAATATTTCGTTCCTCATATTTAATCATATTATTACAGATAGCTGTAATTGTTATTGTTTAACACTTCGCTGTGGGAAAATGAAACAGTCTATCTATTCTCCTGTCCATGGCGTATGATTCCTTCTTGATATTATGATCAGTGCTGGTTTGAATATTTTTATGTCTTCTAGTGTGTATGTAATCAACTATATAATCCTGGAAAATAATAAAATGTTTTAAACTGGTCATTTTTCTCATACATCAACTTCATTTTGGCTTTGCTCAGAATGAATTTCTTAGAAAAAATAGTTATAATTATTAAGAAAACATTAGAAAATATGCTGATATTTTTTCTAAATTAGATTCTTTTTTTTTTTGTATATGAAGATATTTCCCTTGAGTTTTTGTCACTTATCATCTGTTTTATTCCCTTGCTTTATTACTGTTTCAAACGAGACTTTTTTTTTTTGGTTTTGATTTTGTATTAGGAAATCTTACTAAGTTCATTAGAATTTAATCACTTTTTAGATATTTTCAGAAGCATTAACAAGATATCATTGCATTTTTCATGGCTTATTTGACAATCATCTAAGTTAACAAGGTCATTTGATGATTATTAAGACATTTATATGTAGGAGGTATTCCTCTTTACATCTTTGTAGAATTAAGAACCTTATTGTCTTTCTTTCTTTTTTTTTTTAACATAGCACTTAACTAAAGTTAAGTAGTATAATGCCTAAGAACTAGCAATCTGATATCAACTCTCTAATGGAATGATGCAGGAAATAATTTAAAATTAAATATGAGGAGCAAAAGAGAAAAGGAGCAATTTAAAATAAAGAATTAAGACAAGCATATTCATCAATTATCACTTGGGCACAGTGGAGGAACTGGCCTGAGGGCTATTCAATTTAAAACGTTCCATAGGTACTATTGGATCCCTAAAGCAAAGTATAATGAGTTGGTGTCCCAATTAAAGTATTGGAAATGTCAGCAAGCTGAAAGGGATGGCTTCATATGGTTTGAGAGACAAGTATGTTGGTAAGGCAGTTCTGGCATGAATTACTTGGAAATATTTCAAGAATAATCAGACTGTTTTTCTTAATTTTTAACTTTTGCTTTCTCTTTATTTCCCTAAAGGGATTTATTTGTCCAGTGCCAAAAAGCACTTATTATGAATTGACAGTGGACCAGATCATGGTGAAATTGTACAGAAACTTAAATATCTGAAATCCCAAAGGTAGATCTGGCTAGTGAGCCCTTGGGCGATTTAAACAATGATTGTACTTTCAAGAGAGAGGAAATCAGCATTATTTCATGTCTTGAAAATGTCTTCTTTCCGAAACAATGTAACTTAATGAATTTGAACATTTTCTATATTTGAACTTGCATATAGGACTTCTATAATCAAATGAAAAAGTCACCAGTTTCCTAATTGTACCTTTATGAAAAAACTAAAGCAACTAAAATTAAAATAATCATTCTAATTTAAGTCATTTATAATAAATTTAACTCATACTTCACAAAATTTCATTTATATATATAAATTTTTAGAAAGCATGACCCCTAATTAATCACAAGGACATATCCCAGCCGATTACTTGGGGACTCTATCACCTTGGAGAATTTACTTGCCTGTGCCTCAGTTGTCTTTCCTTATGCATGGGTAATACCTGTACTCACTTCAAGGAAGTTTTATGAGATTTAATATGTTAAAATATTTCAAGACTTTAGAACACTATCTGGCACATAAAGACACAGGAGTTATATCTCATCATAAGCATAAATTTGTGATTTTGATAATAGTCATGTATTAGAGCTTTTATCATTTAAAATCTTTTATGATTCATTTTTAATTTAAAGCAGCAAATATTGAACAGAAATAATTAACCAGGAGGGAAAAACCAACTAACATAAAAAATACTCTGTCATGTTTCACAGTAAATTGACAGTAGAGACATTCTCTTCAAGTAAGATAAAGGGAAACAACCTTTGCTCTCACAACTTTTATTGTATTTCTTTCTGAAGGGAGCAAATAAAATAGAGCAAGAAAACTGCACTAAAATTTGAAGCAATTAGAAAAGAGATTAAATCATCATTTTGGCAGCTAATATCATTAGTGACTTAAGAACTCAAAATCGAAAAATTAAGGAAATTAATAATACATAATATTAGTGCTGATACAAAATATATATAAAATTACATATTTTTATGTATATTCTTTTCTTAAATGACATAATATTTAAAAAGCTTAAAGCTAAATAATTTACATAAATCACCTTGAAGTAACTCAAGAAACAAATTTCTCTATACATCCATTCATCCATCTAACTATGTGATTTTGTTGTTCTCCATGTAAAAAATAAATAAATAGAAGATAATCTGAATAAGTTAAAAGCATGACAACATTTCAGATGAGAAAATTATATATTTTAAAAGATGTCAACACTAAAGGGTGTTTGCATATGTATGTGTATGTTTGTATATGTAAATAAAGAATCTAAAATATTTCCTGGGATTTGGGGGAACCGCAGATAGTGATCTTGCAAACAGCAATTGCAAAAATAAATGTGTGTGACCTATACTGACAAGGTTGCAAAGAAGTGTAATCAGTTGAAATTTCCATACAACGTAATCAAGGATTATGTTCTATTGCAACATAATGAAGCATATAATAAACTAAAATATGCTATTAGATGCTTACAATATTATATAAATTGGAAAAATATGAATACCTTATGAATCAACATTTCTTAAATATGAAAAAGAGTTAATTCTGGATCTGTTTTTAAAGATTATACTACTTTTGGTCATACCTTGAGCAACTTCCCCTATCCAAATTCCAAAACCATGGCATTGATAGATAAGTTATAAAAAGTGATAAGCAAGATATGTCACAGAAGACAAACAGAAAAAGTAAGATGAGCCTTGCTAAAGCCCTCGGCCTACTGGGTCCTGGGGTTTTGAAGCAGTCAACATTATGTGACTGGGAATTTGGCTCACATAAAATTCTAAATTGTTCTTCGTTAGTTGGAGGAATGAAGTAAGGTTTATGATTTGAACTGAGGGATTGGTATAGCGATCTTTGACATGTGACTGGAGACATAAATAAGAAAGCTATTAATTGGGGGTGCAGCTAATAGGAGATGGGAAGATACTGGCCCAAGCTTGTAGTTAAGTGCTATGGTAAATGGATGGGTATTTGGATTTTTCAATATTTCCCTAATATTACCCAATATTTCCCAGTGTTAGCTAATGCAGGGACACCAAACTGCTGATATGAGACCTGGTTTTGCATTCTGAACTTGGATAGCTATGTGGAATTCATTGTGTAACTACTACACTAAGGGACCATGGAGACAAGTGGTCATAAATTAGAAAAAGAGTGACAAAGGGGGGGATTATTTAAAATGTTTCTATAAAGTATCATTTCATAACAAGAAGACAGCTAATATGATTAAAGCCAAATGCATCCATAATCAGAAAATTAAATAAAATACCTTAACAACCTGAAAAGTATTTTAAAATGTTTATAGTCCCGAAGTGATAAATGAAGAATAAACATCTTTTATGAAAGGAATTTATAGAATATAAGCAAATGACAGAAAACAAGAATAGTTAGATAGAAGAAATTCAATTAGAAAAAGTATATATTGAAATATTCCATAGTAAGTAAAATAATAAAATTATCTGAATACAAAAATAAAACCAATAGTAGAGAAAGAATATTTGAAGGAACAGTAGCTGAGAGTTTTGTTTTGTTTTGTTTTGTTTTGTTTTGTTTTCTAACATTTGAGGAAATAACTAAGTCCTCACATTGAATGTTAAATGAAATTTAGTATCCACTTGGGCACAGTGGTGTGAAATGCAGATAATCAAAAATTAAGAGCTTTTCAAGGCTCTGAGGAAAGAAAGATTACCCATAAACAGATGAAAATAGATTGCAACGGATTTCTCAGCAGTAAAATGATCTCAGAGTGTATAGTATATACATAGAACTGAAGGAAAATACTCACATAAAATATCTTCTCTACTAAAATATTTCAGAATTATACCAAAAATAAAGATATTTTCAGAGCAGCTTCAGGGGACTAAACCAAAAAAGACCTTTTCTGAAAGATCCGTTCAATATTTTGACTTAACAAAGAGGATATTGAGGCTATGAATGGCATGGTAACCAAGAAACAGAGGTATCTATAAAAATTGATGAAAAAAGGTCAGGCGCGGTGGCTCACACCTGTCATCCCAGCGCTTTGGGAGGCCGAGGCGGGCGGATCACGAGGTCAGGAAATCGAGACCAACCTGGCCAACACGGTGAAACCCCGTCTCTACTAAAAATACAAAAATTAGCTGGGTGTGGTGGCGGGCACCTATAGTCCCAGCTACTCAGGAGGAAGAGGCAGGGGAATCGCTGGAACCTAGGAGGTGGAGGTTGCGGTGAGCCGAGATCTCACCACTGCACTCCAGCCTGGGCGACAAAGTGAGACTCAGTCTCAATAATAATAATAATAATAATAATAATAACAACTAATAAAAAGGTATTGGTAAATATAATTACGCTTAGACAAAGTATTAACTAATTTTTGTGATAAAAAGATGAAACTAAAACTCAAGATAAAATAGTAATCTGGGTCTTCAATTTAGTAGCAGGGTAAACTTTGCTAAGTTTTTGTCAAGAGGTGAGCCTAAACACTGCATAGTGATGTAGGAACCAAGAAACAGGAGGAGAGAATAAACAAGGAGGGGGAGGAAAAGTGTAAAAAGAAAACCTAAAATCAGTTTATAAAAGTATTTGCAATTAACAATAAATACAATCAGGTTAAACTCAACTATTAAGAATCCAACTGGCCGGGTGCGGTGGCTCACGCCTGTAATCCCAGCACTTTGGAAGGCCGAGGCGGGCGGATCACGAGGTCAGGAGATCGAAACCACCCTGGCTAAAACGGTGAAACCCCGTCTCTACTAAAAATACAAAAAAATTAGCCGGGCGTGGTGGCGGGCGCCTGTAGTCCCAGCTACTCGGGAGGCTGAGGCAGGAGAATGGCGTGAACCCGGGAGGCGGAGCTTGCAGTAAACCGAGATCGCGCCACTGCACTCCAGCCTGGGCGACAGAGCAAGACTCCGTCTCAAAAAAAAAAAAAAAAAAAAAAAAGAATCCGACTAGCAGATTGATTTATCTGCAAGCAGTGTCTGAAGAAGTCAGATCACAGACTCCGAGACGCTCGAAGCAGCATATTTGTCATTACTCAGAACTCGTGGGAAGCGCTGAAGACGTTGATGAAGTGCCACTCCCCAGCCCCTGACATGTAATTTTACGGGTTCATTTTTATAGGTAAGTATAACTCAAGATTTCTTCTACACTCCTTTCTGGAACTTGTTTGGGATCCACAGAGGAGGAAACCCTATTTGCATAGAAGTAGACTAATTATAGCATACATTTGAAAAGCAATTAAATATACAATTTTAAAGTAGGCAAATTACATCTGGGGCTATAAACAGTATCAACACCACCAACAACAACAGTAAAATGCTCTAGTTGTGCTCCAGCATAGGATTACTACTAATCATGAACATTTTTAGTAACTTAAAATTATGAATTTTCATATATTAGAACACAGGTGATTCTAACAGTGAGAACTTAAACAGTCTTTTAATTAAAAAAAAATCATTTGTACATGCTAAATACATATATTGAAAAAAGTTAAAGATCTATTCAAGTTATTTCATTCTGGTTCAAATATAACACATATAAGTGCATATAATGACTATTTGAGTTCACTCTCCCATAATTAGATGAATGGAGAAAGCCACATGCCTATGTTAGTTTTGAAAGTCTCAGAGATGGCTCAATTTGTGATTTTTAAGCTAACTTATCTTCATTGGCCTCCAAATAAAATAAAGGGGATAAATAGAATTTCTAAAAATTTATTGGTATTAGTGGAGGCCTAATAATATGGAGTCAAGTGAAGAGTAAAGGGATGGACATTTGTAAAGACACCCTGAGAGCATCTGTTGCCCCAGATTTTGAAATCATGTATGCCTAAAGCAGGATAATTTAGTTTATCTGAATTTGGTTGTGGTGGTGGGGTCATGCAGTAACTGAGTTACAGTTTAGCTAGTTCAACATACATTACTTTATTCAAGTGGTAAGAAACCTAAATAAAATAATGTGTATAGCATGATTTATTTTTAATATAAGCATTTAAATATCATATTAACATAATTTATAAGTACCATTATGAGAAAAATAAATATGAAGTTCACAATCCTAATATCAAAAGCTGAAAATATATATTATATTTGAACACTAGGATTCCAGGTCAGTTTATATATGACACTAGTGTTTTTAAAGCCACTTTGTGAGAATCATAATATACTTTTTTGTTACTTCATCCTTTACATATTCTGGCAGCTTTCCAGATTTTAGCAAAGAACTCTTTGAGATGTTTGGCTTTGTCAAAAACTAAATATATTGACAAAGTCTGGAAGAAAGATAAAACATAATAAAGCCATCCAAGAGAGGTGAGCGTGCATTCAAGAGAAGGTTTATGTTATGCAGAGCAAACTATGTTAAAACAAAATCTATACAGCTAAAAATCCAATGTTTTTGGATTTCTATTCTAATTTCAGTCTAATCTGCTAGGAAGATGAAAGATTCAATGTTACTCCTCACTTTGTATTATCACTTCAACTTTAATATGAAAGACTTCGCAGAAGTCAGCACTGGAGCTTTATTTTAGTAACCATAGGGGAACCATTCTAGGAAATTGTGGAGCCAAAATCCCAATTAGACACGTTCTATATGCCCAAAGTTTATACAAGGATTAAAGTTACCTAGAAGAGCAGAAAACATATGTGTGATGGGGATATATACATGATAGAGCCATAGTAAAAACTTACAATGATTATAACTTCTGAAGAAATAATCAGTTTGAACGCGATACAGTATTAAGAGAAATAACTATAAAAAATGACCAGACAAGACCAAAATGCTTCTGTCCCCTATGCATTCTTTTTTGTAAAATTTCAATCATTTTGGGGGTATAGTTGGTATTTGGTTACATGGCTACCTAATGCATTCTATAATGTGGGAATATTTCTTCTTCTGCACAAAATCATCTTTTTCATAGTACACAACACTCTTTATTAAACCTTCACTGTGGATAACTCCAAAATTGTCAAAAGGCAGTTGTGTACAAGGCCAATAGACGTTCAAAACATTAGAAAAGTTTTCAGCTGTTTGGTTATCAGTGCATTTGACATTTAATTTAACTATTGTAATAGATGATTATACTTAACACTTGTATAGAATAGATTTAAAGTGAAAAAAAAAGGTAAGTTCAAGCTTACTTTCAGGAACATTGAGAAGCTTCAATTACACTTTGGTAATGTATAGTAACCTTATATTTGTAATTTTAATTTTTCGTAGGTATATTTTTATAAAATTAATTTAAGAATTTTTAATAATTTATAAAACTATCCAGTTTTATAGAAAAAATAATAGTTAGTGTTTGTGACATTATATCTCCCATAGCAGCATTTTTTTTCAAAGAGAATATATTGTTCATTGTAAAGTTTATCTTTGTTTAAGGTTTAAGGTTTTAGATATTTTAGACTTGTTTTGTTTTGTTTTTGAGATGGAGTTTTGCTTTTCTCACCCAGGCTACAGTGCAGTAGTGTGGTCTTGGCTCACTGCAACCTCCACCCCCCGGGTTCAAGTGATTCTCCTTCCTCAGCCTCCCAAGTAGCTGGTATGACAGGCGCCTGCCACCATGCCTGGCTAATTTTTGTATTTTTAGTAGAGATGGGGTTTCGCTACTTGGCAAGGCTGTAGACAGTTTTTTTTTTTGTTGTTCTTTTTTTTTTTTTAACAGATGACTTCAGTCAAAAGTTGATATAGCTGATTTTTTTTTTTTCCAATCTTTAGTTTTCCTACACAAAGAATCCATCCTACTTCTGGGTCCTTCTGATAAGTTCAAATACCTTTTGGGCTTTCTCCTAAGAGCAAATAATCATTTCTCAACTGGTTTGTCAGATTGCAATCTAATTGATAAATTAACATTCACTTTTACTCAGCATGATATATCATCTTCCCAGAAAAAATTATATTTCCATTGTGCCAATTCTCCTTAATTATGTACTTCCTGCTATTAAACGTTTGTAAATGCTACTGGATGGACTCTAGATATAAGTGAGGCAAAAGGAATCTTACATCTGACAAATAGGAAATCTTCCCACATTATAAGCTTTGGTAATGGGAAACCCTGTCTACATTTTCTTGCCTCCTATACATGTGCAAGTCAGTAGACTTAAAAATAGTTTTTCACTCTTAAAGGTCTATAAAAATAGTCTTTCATAATTCATTCAGATTCTATAATCTTTAAGAAATCATAGGACAAAAATGTCATATACAAGGTGTCATTTAAAGAAAGACTTTAGCAGACTGGTCATTTAATAGGATACTGCAACTACACAGAATGTTACTAAAATTGTTCAAGAAAGTTATTCACATGTCTTAAAATATGTCACCTTAAAATATTTTAATACATTCAAGTGTACTACACAGCTTTTCTGGTTTATGAGAATATAAATAAATGCTTGATGAAAATACTAACTGTATATGGCATAGAGATGGAAGACAAGAATGAATTTAAGATGATTTATTTTCCAAGTATATATGGGATTTTATACTATTGGTTTTATTTATTTAAAAATGGTGAAGAGAATCTGGATTTTAGGACAGAAGTAATAATTTTATTCCTAATCATGCAAGGCATATTTAAAAAATTAACAAATGTGTAAGCCCTAATTAACAGAGCATTTGATCCTTTCTTAACATTTCCAGAGCCAGGTAGCTTTTGTCCTATGTGTGGTATAATAAAATCCATTATGAGACAATCTTTCTCACAATGCATTCTGTATGTCACTGCTATACTCACCTTTCCTAAGAACGTCTCAGTTACCTCCAGTAGCCCTAAATAAAGCAACCTAAAGTCCTACCTGCACACTGTGACATTAAGGCCCACCAAGCCCTGACTCTAGAGTACTTTTCTCACCTTAACTCTCAATATTTCTCAAAAACACATAGTGATTTCCTTGTGTACAATTATATCTCACATGGAAATTCACCTTTGCTTGTATTTGCATGGCATTTTCTTGTCTATTCAGTCAGTTTTACATCAGATCTTCTTTCTGTCTAAAAACAATTTGTACACATGGGTCTCAATCCACATCCTATTCAGCTTTTTAGACCCATATACAAGTGTCTGTATGTAGCTCCCTTAATGCATTTAGACAGGACTTTTTTCTTCTCTGCTTTACATTTACTATAGCTTAATAGATGTTTACTAGAATATGCCTTAAGATCTAGGTATTTTTATGCATATCTTTCTCCCAATATAATTAAGAACTGTGGCAGTATTGTCTTGGAAATTATACCATATATCAAGTAAATATTTCAGAAGGGAAGGCAGAGGAAAACCTAAAGTCAGGCAATTACATGACCACTTAAACCTGCTTTATAAATGTTGAGAACTGTCTATGGCACATAGTGTATTAGGAAGCATCCAGCACAGGAGGATGATGTAGGCTGGGAGGCTAGACCCATCTCACCTTTTTCATGTCTTTCTGCTTGCTTTATATTCACTGGAAGCTGATTAGATTGTGCCCATCAGACTAAGAGTGGATCTGCCCTCCCCAGCCCACTGACTCAAATGTTAATCTCTTTTGGTCAACACCCACACGGACACACTCAGGGTTAGTACTTTGTGTCCCTCAATCCAATCAAGTTGACACTCAGTATTAACCATCACAGTGAGCACTTGATAAATTTTAGCTATTTTCTTATATTGTAATTAAAACCAATTTAGACACATCTTCAGAAACAATCAGCCCTGTGATTCTATTTCCTTTTAAGTTCATTCAAAGCTCTGTCTGTAAGATGAAACAGTAAATTTCAGATGTTTATGCAGTTTTGCTTTAGCTAAATCATTGTCTAGTGTAGAAGTAAAAATGCTCAAATGACAGGTCTCATAGCTTTCATTTTTCAAGTTTTTCCCCATTTTGCGGATAAAAGAAATGTTTTTTAACCAAGATAGTGACATCCCACATTTTTGGTAAAGACTTGACCCCTGTTTCCAGGTGGTCCTTAAAACAGTGCCACACTTCTTACATATTCCTGTACATCATCTATAAGAGGGATGTGTAGCCTAGAAATAGATGAAACAACAGGTTTCCACAAGGCTACAGACTTTGAGTCAAAGGACACCATGAAAAAGGGTGTCCTGAATTTATTCTTAGAGACTAATTTCCTTGCCACTGTTGAATTTTGCTTATAGCACCAGAATTTTATTACCACCATTTTCTTTTTCTGAAATATGTCAAGTATTTGCAAACATAGGAGTAGATGATAGGTGTGATATATTTCAGTGATTTAAAAATAGTAAATTTTCTAAGCCCTTGAGAAAATTCCTTTTTGTTTTCTTTGGAAAATGTTGAATATGAATCTCACTGAAGTAAAAAACAATTGATTTATGTGCATTGTATAGGTCCGTTCTCACACTACTAATAAAGACATCCCCAAGACTGGGTAATTTATAAAGGAGAGAAGTTTAATTGACTCACAGTTCTGCACGTCTGGGAAAGCCTTAGGAAACTTACAATCGTGGCAGAACTGGGGATGAACATGTTCTTCCTCACGTTGCGCCAGGAAGGTGAAGATTGAGAGCCAAGTGAAGGGGGGAGCCCCTTATAAAACCATCAGATCTCCTGAGTACTTACTCACTATCACAAGAATAGCATGGGGGAAACCACTCCCATGATTGAATTACCTCCTATTTGGTCCCTCCCACCATACATGGGGATTATGGGAACTACAATTCAAGATGATATTTGGGTGGGAACACAGCCAAACCATATCATGGGTCAAAACAAAAATGAACTGGATGTTATTTATAAGTGCTTCCTCAACCCAATTTGTATTTTTCTTAGGACATTTATTCAACTTCATGAATGTAATACTATGCCAAGTGGTTGTTATGCACTGTGATTATTGGACACAAATATTCCTAGGGGTATTACAGACAACTGTTGTGATTAAGTTATTGATAAATTTCACATGAGATCATAACAATGTTGCATCAAAAATATTAGAAGGCTATTCATTATATCCAGGAATATGTAATTTAATTCTTTGACCATCTTTAATTGGCTTAGAATAGTTTCCTTGGAGAATATTTAATAGAGATTACTCAGGAGAGAAAACAGAAGAAAATAGGAATGGAATCTACTGGGCACAGCTGAAAGTGCAGTGTTAGGGATCTCCTTGTGTACTAGTCACAGGGTTATTTGGGTAGGGAATCTACACAGTGGCTGATAGCCATTCCCTGAGATTTTCTCAGATGAAACATCTTTACAGGCATGACTGTGCATAGAAAGTTGCACCAGCTGTAGAAATTTCACACCATCTGACTGAACATAGCCTTATCCCTCAGAGTGTAAATAAACTAACTCAAGATTACTAGCAAATCTGGACCATCCAGATGGCTCCGGCAGACATTTAATTGATAAGACAAGGAAACAGCTATTATTTAGGGTATTTTAATTTTATTTTGTGCCATGTTTTCATATATGTGTTTATTGAATGAGTGGAGTTGCTACAAGTATAATCATGAAACTTAGTTTCTCCTCATGCCACTGTCCTTGAAACATAAAATAGTAGATCTCCCTTTTCTGCTTGGACAATATTTGTGGCAGACCTTGTGGCAAGTGTGCTTATTTTAGATATTAAGGTCTAATTTGGGGGCATTAAAATATTCATTGTTATTTAAAGGAAAATGTGAGTTTTTCATTCAGTTCAATGCTTCTCTCCCTACCCTAACTTTATCATGATTCAGTTTCAGAAACCTACATAAAGAAGGGGCACATGGTCACTTTCTTTTGTCTTTTCTTTCCAACTCTTTAATAATAATTGTTCTTTAATATTTCTCCTGTATTCAAATTCAGAGAGGAGTTTCCCTAAAAATAAAAGCCAAGTCAAAAGTGACTAGTGTATTTGACATCTGGCATTGGTGTCTTAGCTGGGATAGATGCCCAAATATGTTTATCTCCCAACGGACTATTCTGTGGGTTGTTCTGAAACTCCCCCACGTGGGAAGCTCTCACTGCAATATTTTGTGAAAAGGTCAATATACCTTCTGTATTCTCTTCTCACTTCCTGCTTCTGGTGTTACACCACAGAAAGACTCCTGATGGAGTCTATACACTCATCTCATCAGTGTAACCTTCAAGATAATTCATGTCTTTTTGTTTACCAGGGTCCTCTTGGACCCTGAAAAGAGCTAACACACTTGTTCCTTACCCTTATTAGTGCTTCTTGCTTCCTCTCTCTAATTCTGTGCCATTTTCCTCTTTCTCCTCAGTTTTACTTTTAAAAGTGTCCATGTCAGAGTCACATACACCAAATTCGCTACATGAAGATCTCTAGGTGGTTGATTGAACTGATTTGAAGAAGTTTGAGGTGTAAGGGAGAAATATTTAACATTCTGACAACTCTTTCCAATAAATACTCACTATACATGTTTCTCTATTTGTAGATAAGCTTTAGGTAGGTGATGGGGTAAAATTTGAAGAACCAGCTTTGGGTCAATCCCTCAGCAAGTCCTGAATAAATTATCAAGATATTTATCACCAATTGTTCCCATTTCTGTGCCTCAGTTCAAAATGAAATGACAGGGGACATATCTTTTAATATCCTATCACATATATTTCATGTATACGCTGTCTACATGGCAAATGTATCTTCTGTTTGCTTTCTTGTTTTTTGTTTGTTTGTTTGTTTAATATCATCTAATCCTTTATGAAGGCATTTCAGCATTGAACTGAATTGCCTTCCTGTGCCTCAGGAAAAAATTTAGGCACCTATTGGAGCTGAATTATCTTAGACTATAAATCTCTGAATCCTTATTGAGCAGAACTATAATCAGGTGAAGTACTTACCGAACCATTCAGACACAAAAATATTTATCTTGGTTGATAAGAAATTTAAAAACAAAATTGATGATCATAAGTATGTAGTGCAGCAGAATATATTACAAAAAAGAAAAGGAGAAAGATTTTATATAAGGCTTCTCTGAGATGTAGTAGAAGAACTCCCTCTTTTTTTGTTTGTATAACTGAGATTTGAAAAATGTCCATAGTGCAAGCTGATAGGTTTCAACTAGTTCTCAATTATGAAGGAAGTTTTTAAATTCTGAATTTTTGTAGGACTCTAAACAGAGAGAAACTGGAGAGCCAAGGGACGAGAAGTCAAAGTTCAAAAGTGTGACCAAAATTAAGAAATATTACAGGTATATTAAAATTAAACAGATTATCAAATTCTGAGTGTAGAAAAAAGGTTAGGTCTGTTTGAGTAAACACATGTTTACTTAAATTATTTTATATATACCAAATATTTATAGATTGAGTCTAAATTCCAAGAAAGCCACTCTTCAGACAAATTTGAAGATGTTGCCATCATACAAAAGATTTTACATAATCTTTAAACAAAAGCATATAGTCATACATAAAAAAGCTTTCTTTTTTTTTTAAGATGGAGTTTCGCTCTTGTTACCCAGGCTGGAGTGCAATGGCGCAATCTCGGCTCACCACAACCTCCACATCCCGGGTTCAAGCGATTCTCCTGCCTCAGCCTTCCAAGTAGCTGGGATTACAGGCATGCACCACCACACCTGGCTTATTTTGTATTTTTAGTAGAAATGGGGTTTCTCCATGTTGGTCAGGCTGGTCTTGAATTCCCGATCTCAGGTGATTCACCCACCTTGGCCTCCCAAAGTGCTGGGATTACAGGTGTCAGCCACTGTGCCCAGCCCAAAAAGCACTCTTTAAGGCTAAAATCATTTTACTCCATATTGCGTTGCATATATTAAACTTAGTAGCTTTAATAAAACACATAAGAATTTTAAATATTAACCAGAAAAATTTTTAAAAAATCAATTTATGTCATCCCCACATCACTGTGACCTATCTGTATAATAAATTCATTTAATTCTATTACATTTATTTTTTATTAGAATGTTGCTATTTACTCTGAAGTGTCAAATGATACACTCATACAATATAGCACCACCAGAAAAATATTTTATAGCAAGAGGAAACATTGAGAAAATATAGAAAATAGTTCAATTGATTTGACATGAACAAATATCTTTTAAATATGGATTTACTGGTGACCAGAGTCTTTAAGAAAATTTTACATCTATTAATGAATATATATATATATGCTAATGAAAAAATATGAGAAATAAATCATGGTCAAGATTTCAAAATTTATAATTTTTAAGATACCACAATTTTCTGGATTTTTAATGTAGCATTTTATTTAGTCAGGAAAATTTACTGAATGTTTTTGTGCAAGGCCCTGGGAGATGCAAAAATAGGGTAATTTGAAGTCATCGGCCTTCAAAGAGATAAATTGTTAAACAAACAAGATAAGGTACATGGTGCCTGATTGACAAGGATGGTGATTCAGAGTTACGAGGCAGAAAATGCCACAAGAAACATGATGCTTTCCCAATACTTTGCATTTACCTAATAAGTTTTGTAATATGAAATGAGTGGTGGGATCATAATTTTATGACTGAGCACTCTGACTTTGTGTCCTTGGACAAATTACATATCTTGATTCCTCATTTATTGTTTCTTAACAATAAGATAGTAGTTCCTAATGCATGACATTGTTGTGAGAATTAAACTATATCTTTTTAAAAAAATTTTAAATTAATTTTTTAGATGGATTTTTGCTCCCGTTACCCAGGCTGGAGTGCAGTGGCACGATCACGGGTCACTGTAACCTTCGCCTCCCAGGTTCAAGTTATTCTCCTTCCTCAGCCTTCCAAGTAGCTGGGATTACAGGTGCCCACCACCATGCCCGGCTAATTTTGTGTTTTTAGCAAAGACGGGATTTCACTATGTTGGCCTGTCTGGTCTCGAACTCCTGACCTCAAGAGATCCGCCCACCTCAGCCTCCTAAAGTGCTGATTACAGGCGTGAGCCACCATGCCCAGCCCTATATCTTTAACTTGGACAGTGCTAGACATACAATCAACTGTCAATTAATATTAGTAAGTTAATATAAACAAATTATTAGAAAATTTTTTTGTTACCCCCACTTTACATGTGAAATGCTACCTACCCTTAAGCAGCTTGTATCTGGCAGAGTTTCCTAAGAAAAGCATGTCTATATGGCTCACTCCATGACTTTCTTAGGAAGATTCCTTTAAATGTCATGCAGTTTTCCATTTTCTCCTTCATCCCTTAACATTAGACCTTCCAGGTGTTTCTTGTTCATTCTAAATGAAAAGCGCGTACAGAAGAACAAAGAATAAATTGCATAATCTGGTTAGCACCTAAGTGGCAGAATCCTAATTCTGGTCCCTGTTGACAAAGCCAGTGTATCTTTTCCTACATGAAAAGAAGAAAACTTAAGAGGGAGCAATGACTTTGGGCTGGAGGGAAATGATCAGAATTTAAGCTGGATACTAAAGGGTACTATGCTCGTTAGAGATTGCATTGATCTGCATGTGACACATTTCAGCTAAAAATTTCGCTGAAATTTTTTCTCTTATAAAAAGTGCTCACAGCCAGATGGTGCCTGGCTTTGGTTCACCAGCTTGAGGATGCTAGGGCTAAATTTCCTTTCTCTATTCTTCATGTTGTCAGATGGATGTTGAAGCTCCAGCCATTACAACATTATTTAGACAGCAGGGGAGAAAAAGGAAATGGGAAGTTTGACACCTGTATTAGTAGAGCAAATTTGCCCTCCTATGCCTGGCACATTTCCAGTTTTCTGTCATTTTTCAGAAATGTGTCATATGATCATCCCTTCCTATAAGAGACTTTGGAAAGGTGAAGTTTTACCTTTTAAGGGTCATGACAGTGAATCTGATGAGACTGGTAAAATGATGGGAATGTATACCGAGTGAACTACAAATTACGTGCCCCAAAGGTGGGCTTACTTGTATGACCAGAGATGGGAGAAAGAAATTACACGCAACCAAAGGTTCAGAGATTTTGGAGACTGATGAATAATCTAGTCAGAATCAGAAAGCAGTGGTTCTTAAGGGTCAACCAGGCCTGGCAAGGTGGCTCATGCCTGTAATACCAGCACGCTGGGAGACCGAGGTGGCCAGATCACGAGGTCAGGAGATCAAGACCATCCTGGTCAACATGGTGAAACTCCGTCTCTACTAAAACTACAAAAATTAGCTGGGTGTGGTGTCGGGTGCCTGTAATCCCAGCTACTCAGGAGGCTCAGGCAGGAGGATTGCTTGAACCCGGGAGGCAGAGGCTGCAGTGAACCGATATCACGCCACTGCACTCTAGCCTGGCGACAGAACAAGAATCCATCTCAAAATAAATAAATAGATAAGTAAATAAATAAGGTCAACCAAAGGAGTGGGGAAACATTTATTTAAAAACAGAAAAAAGTCTCATGAGAGATACAAATGAAGGCAGTGTTTTAGAAATTACAGAGATTATGGTTACAACTCTAAGAAAGATAGACTGTAGGAGGAAAAGTGAGAAAATGTGAAGATAATCCTTGAGAATAGCTTCACTGAGAAAGCGGTAATAAGACCAAGGAAAGGTGTGGCCAGAGAAGCAAGACAAGGTGGAAAGTGAGTAGCGTCACAGAAGCCCATGCAGTGAAGGAACGCAGGGTCGCTATTTGGAGACTTCAACTATTCTACACTTGCATTAAGAAAAATGAAACGAAAAACCCACTGCTTTTAAAGTTTCTTCCATGACTTCGGAAAGAAATTCTCGTAGACTCTCTGGGAAATGTCAAGACTCAAGGCTTGAGCTAATTGATGGAAGAGGATAGCAGCTGGAATAAAATACAAATTATTTTAGAAGTTTTACTGTCAAATAGAAGGGAATTCAGTGAGGATGGGAGTTACAGAAGATAACAAACATAAGAAAAGTTATTTTATGTAGTTTTTGTGTTCTGTTGCTAATGAGGAAATATTAGCATGTGTGTCAGAAAAATGCTGGTGGAAATTTAGAGATTAAAATGGAAAAAAATAGGAGGGAAAATACTTGGTTTTTTAAGTGGATGTTTTATTTATTTTTGATTGTTCAAAGTCTGATAATGTACAGACTTACCTATTTGCCAAATACAGTTCATTTGTTTAAGTAAGAGGGAATAACATTTATTAAACTGTTGAATGTTTACTATATTCCAGCCAAGTTACATAGGTTATCTCATTTGGTGATTGAAAAATTCCTAAGAATATCTGCTTCAAAATGTTGTTATGAGAATGCAATTATCAACATGTAAAATGCTTAAAATAGGTCCTACCATGTTATAAGCAGTACTACTATAGTTATAATTAATAGCGATTGTAGAAACAATCTTTTACACTGCTTTCTTTTATAGAAAACTGGAGTTCAAGTAATTTAATAAATGGATCTGCATTAATGAAAGAAAGTAAATTAGAAATTACCTTGAAAGAAACTAAATTAGAATTCTGTCTCAGGTGTGTCTGACTCCAAACCCCACTGAGTTTCAGGAGGAACGGATTCTGTTAAACATCTTAAGGAGAGTGTCACAGCCATAGGCCTAGTTCAGGGACAGGGACAGTCTTCTACAGACTTAGTAGAGGAGTTGAGTTTATCAAAAGCAATAAATAATTCAAAACCCAATTCTTAGATAAGGTTATGGTTATTAAAAGAGAATACAAGGTAGGAACAAAATGTCAGCAGCAAAATGGGTAACCAGGATGAGCACAAGTTGGAGTTATTAGTAGTCAGGGTATTGCCTAATATTGGTGAGGTGCTCCTTAAATTTCTTCTGCTGAAATGTTAGATTTTTTTTCTGGAGGCTAGAACTATCCTACACTTGCATATGGGAGGCAAATAAATTTAACTTTTGGAAAGAATGGCATGCAAATGCTAAGAATCAGATAAGGCATTTAATACTAAAAACTCAGTTATTAAATCAAGTTAAATAGAATAATCCTAAATTCTTTAAAAGTTTATGTAGTGCAGTTTGCAATATACTGAATCACTGATTCTTGGATCTTAGGGCATTATATCAATTTATATACATATAGTCAATCAATCCATATATGGTCAATTTTTCATTAAAAAGTAATTGTTATTAACCATAGAAATAAGCACTCATAAATAGAAACCACATGTAGTTACTGTATTCTTAATTTTGGAGACTTTAATGACTTTGAAATATTAATGTATGTATTTATTTATCCTTCACTTCACAAACATTTATTATAAAGTACCGTTCAGAAGCCAGTATGCTTGGAAATAAATAATGAGCTGGCTCACACCTGTAATCCCAGCACTTTGGGAGGCCGAGGCAGGCGAATCACGAGGTCAGGAGATCGAGACCATCCTGGCTAACATGGTGAAACCCTGTCTCTACTAAAAATATAAACAATTACCCGGGCATGATGGCGGGTGCCTGCAGTCCCAGCTACTCGGGAGGCTGAGGCAGGAGAATGGCATGAACCTGAGAGGGAGAGCTGGCAGTGAGCCGAGATCATGCCACTGCACTCCAGCCTGGGCGACAGAGCAAGACTCTGTCTCAAATAATAATAATAATAATAATAATAATAAGCTGTATACCTGTAAGAAAGATGGAGTATTCCAGAGTGAAAAAGCCATGCACTTCAGAATTAGGAATTATATACCATCACATAACATATAGATTACAAAAGTAATACAAGAAAGATTTCCAAATGAAGTAACGTATTCTTTCACACTGAATCTAAGATTTGTATATATAATTATATAAATAATTCTATCCAATTAGAAAGGTTAAAAAAGGCAAATATAACAGTTATTTTAAAATCCCAGGGACTGTGTGTATGTGTGTTTAGTAAAGAAGCTGTCAAAATTAATCTTTTAGAATTGTAACTGAATGCAAGTCCAGCTGCTCACTGCTCGAGGGCCAGAATACAAGAAGCAAAGTGTAGTGAAAGGAAAGCAACTTCATTCAAATGCTAGCAGTTGGGAAATGGTCAGGTTCTTGCCTCCAAAAGACCACTTCAAATGTTAGTCTTGGGAGAAGGGGTTTAAAAGGGAGGGACTTGGTATGGAAACCAGCAGGAGAAACGCAGGATGCAGGTCTGAATATCTTGTTCCAAAGGCTATCTTGAGTCATCGTCCACCTGGAGTGCTGGCTGGACCATCTCGGTTGTGGCTGGGTGGTAGATTATCTGTCCTGAGGCAATCTCCTCGTTGGGGAGAATTCCGCAGCTGGGCCTCCTTGCCTGGCTTGTTATAAAATTAGGCCCTGGAATTTCTTAACAAGCATGCAGTTAGATAAGTGTGCATGGTGCAAGGGACTGTCTGCTGGGAAACAGGGAAGCAGAGTTTCGAAGTACATTTCAAGGCTTTATCTCAAGGCTAAGAAAAAATGTTTCTACAATCTGTTTCAAGGTTACATCTTAAGACTTGAGAGGAAAAAAAGGAAAAAAAAGGTTTAAAATGAATTTCAAAGTTAAAATACTTGGTTACAAAATTAAATAAAATGCATTCACATGGGAACATAATCTCCGATATACGCACAAACACATATGCACGTAAATTTTCACTGCTATTGATGTTTACTATCTGTTCATTTAGTATAAATGCTTGTTTCAAGAAAGATTAAGTGTTAAAAATCGTAACTTTATCTGAGAGATGAATGAGTTAAAGCTAATTAAGTACTTCATTAAAGAAAGAGAACATACTAAAGTACTAATTATATTTAAAGCCTCAAACAATATACTTAAATTATGTACTGAGCAATTTTTTTTAAATGAGTAAGTTACAAGGCTTGTTCAGAGTAAAAAATAAGAGTGTTCTATCTATCGAAATCAAATTTTGCTAAGGCAGTTTCTAAAAATGATGAGCCAAGATGCTGTTATATATTTTAGCAAATGTTATATTTATGAAACAATAACAATGCCAATTTATATTCTTTTTTGTGCTTAAGTACTAGATATAATGTCATGTAGGTCAGATGAAGGATATTTACATTTAAAGTGTACTGACATCTCACTGGTTCTCAGTATAGATAGAAAGATGTTAACTAATTCTAGACTTTTAAAATTAATTCGGGGATAACCAACCATACAACAACTATTGAGTTTATAATTTCCAATTCAGCAGAGAAAAAAATATTGATAAACCTAATAATTGGAAATTGACTAAATGTCTTCATAAAGACAGAGATTTGTGGAATTCAATTTTTTAAAAAGTTCAACTATATAGGTGCTTTTTACAAGGAGTATAACTAAAATGTAAGGACATGAAACTTAATGATGCACACTTTTCCTGTGACTATTCAGCTTTGTTCAGAAAGTCTTAACAAGAGTATTGAGGTAAACAAATTAAATGCAATATATAAGAGTTGGAAAGGAAGAAAATGGAATGTTATTATTTTCGGATAACAAAATTATATATATAGAAAATACAACAGAATTTGCAGACAAATTACAGAAAAAAATAGAGTTTAGGTGGGAAGCTGAAGATGGGATCAATAAAGAAAAATATTTTTCTTGTATAAAATATTAATAGCACAAACACCAACCATCATAATCATAGTGAACCTTTTCTGTTTACTTACTGTCTATCAAACACTGTTCTAAGCATTTTATGTGATAGGAATCATTCAAGCTTCACAACAACCCTATGGGGCACGTGCTCCTAACATCTCATTTTAGAGACTGACCCACTTTCATATGGAAAATTCGTGTATGCTTGAATTGGCATTGTTGTTCAGGAGAGAATAAATGACATAAAGGCAACTGGTTAGCAATATGAAAAAAACAGAAAGAAATAAGATTCCTCCCTCACACCATACTCAAAAAATATTTGCAAGACTGACAGCCTCACCTCTTTCGAGTATTAGTTCAAATGTCACCTTTGCAATGATGCCTTTCACCGACTAACTTTTAGAAACTGGAATCTGCCCGTCTGCCTTGCACACCTGATTTCCTTCATCTGCTCTAAATGCTTTCCTCCATAGCATCCATCACCTTCTTATTGTATGATTTACTTATTTAATATGATTATTGCCTGTGGTCTTTGTCCTTTCCTGCAATGTCACTCCATAAGGACAGAGGTGTTTGTCTCTTTCCTTTACTGATACATCTCAAGTGACTAGAACAGTCCCTGTCATGTAATAGATGCCTATGAAATATTTGTTGAATAACTTATAGATGGAGGATTCTGACCCAGGATAAATCTGCGTGAGGACTGATTCTATATTTGTTGTGAGGCTACTGAAGTTTATGCAGATAATGATTACCCTGTTACACATAAACTGATTTGTGTTATTAAAATAAACCATTTCTTTAGAAGCCTTGGTAAATTATAAATCATTCACTGTAAAGACAGACGTTTTACTCATTCTATAGCTATTAAATAAGCTAGCCCAAAATATAATTTTAAAACTACACTGTTTAGTATGTATTCTGTTAAGGTTACTGGATATGCTAAATATAACTTTTCAATTAATGGTACTACTGTTGGTACATATATTTTAAAAATTATTTCTAAGTGGTTAGAGGATCTGTACACAAAATAATAGACTAGGAAATCTGGACATCAGAGCTACTGTTGCATTGATTCACCTAGATAATCATGGGCACATATTCTATATAAATTCTGAATGGGTAGTGGATGGGTCTGTGGTGTTCTTTGTCAAGAACCAAGCTCTTTGAAGAGCGCCTGGAAAATGGTAAGCACTCAATGCCTATTTGTTGAATGAATTGTTATATCAATGAGATAATCATTTATTTTCTATATTTCAGTCTTATTATCAGAAAATGAAAATAATGCCATCTATTCAATATTCCTCTTATTAGGTTAAGTGACAACATAAAACAACATGAATATCATTACAAGTGGAAGGTCAATGTCTTGTCCATCTTTCAAACAGTACTACTTTGCATATTTTATTTTATAATGTTGCTGTTTATCTGTAGTAGAGGCTGGAAATGTTAACTCTTTAAAAAGGCCTTGATTCCAGTATTTTTCACTCCTGCAGAATTGATTTATCCTATTATGGGAATTATCTTAACATGTATTAGTGTAAGATGTTAGCAAGCCATTTAATTAAAATAATTATTATTTATATATACTTTTTAGGCTTACCAATGGCATTACTAAAATTTTATCAGTGATAGCTATTATTCAACTGAAGTTTTTGGGGTTTTGTTGGAGAAAGGGTTTTATTCTGTCACCCAGACTGGAGTGCAGTGGTGCCATCATAGCTTACTGCAGCCTCGGACTCCTGGGCTCAGGGAATCAAGGGATCTTCCCACCCAAGATCCCCGAGTAGCTGGAACTACAGGCACATGCTACCATACCTGGCTAATTTCTCTATTTTTTTTTTTTATTATTTTTTTTTAGAAATAGGGGTCGTGGTATGTTGCCAGGACTGGTCTTGTACTCCTGATCTCAAGGATTCCTCAAGGATTCCTCCCACCTTTGCCTCCCAAAGTGCTGAGATTACAGGAGTGAGCCACCATGCTCAGTCCTGCTCCCCCTGCCCTCCAAATCCTAGGTTAAGCAAAGACAGATGAAATACAAGTATTTATGTCCTTGTGTTTATCATTGTACTAGCTCCTTCAGGAATTTCTATTGTAGGAGGCACATTGTTCTTTCTGGAAAATTTCCACTTCCCACTTCTCTGAGCTAAGTAGTTTGTTAAGAGATTTTTAATCATGCATAAAAACATAATGTGGTTTCTCATTCAATAAATTGTCAGTCACAAAACTATTTTTAAACAACATCAATATTTCAAGCAAGTACATCTACTAATGCATTGGCTGTTTCTTTGCTCAATAAAGCACGTATTACAGAGACATTCTTAAATGTATTGTACATATTGAAGAGAAAATAAAATTCACTACCCTACAAATGCTATCCTCATAGCTTATCTTTTTAACTTAGCTTTCATGCAAATGGGCTTTCACCCATAAGCCTAATCCTGAAAAGAAATTGTAAGTGCTAAAGAAAAGATGCTTTGACTAAGTAAGTGTCAATAAAAACAAAGCTCCTACAATATTACTCCATATAGAGCAGCTTAATCAGAATTTGTAAGTGATGGAAGTTAGAACATTTTAATAAGCTTTTTTTCTTTCTTTGTTTTTCAGCATTTTAGCTCCTCAGCCTTTCGTTCTAGGCCATGAAGTTAGTTAAGGACAAAGTTTTCTTCTCTTCTTTGAATATTTCTTCTTTCCATCTTGCAATCCTACATTTTCCTCTTTTCTTCAGAGATTTGTTTTCTTAAAAGAGATATTACTATAACCACAAACTAATTATAATGTTTAAGCAGCATAATTATTTACCCCAGCTAAATGCATAGAAATACAGATGACAGAGAGCTCATCAGGAGTAAGGAAGGCTCCTGGGACCAAGGGGAATTCTTTCTGCAATGGGACATTTCATTGTCCCTCAAATCACAAGTACCTACAATTAGTTTGTATAGTATCAGAAAACTATATTACAAAATAATAATTGCCAGTAAATTGTTTACTTTCATTATGTATTATAATATAAATTCAAAAAATACTTAAAATAAAGGAACCAAAATAATGTTAGGATAATAATGCTGTTTTGCCCCAAATAAAGCCAAACAATCTAGGGATTATTTTCCTAAGGGAAAAAATACTATAAAGTTTTACATAAGACAGTATGAGAGTAATGTTTAAATATTTCTTATGAGGAAACAGAACAAGTTTAAATGCTAAGAACTAGAAGAGTTAAATTCTAGTCTTAACAAAAATACTGGTTAAGGAATATAACGGCTTATATTCCAAAGTTATTACTTAAGGTTTTTAATGTTGGTTTTGTTTTTGTTTTTGTGCTTTTTTTGAGACAGAGTCTCACTCTATCACCCAGGCTGGAGTGCAGTGGCGCAATCTTGGCTCACTGCAAGCTCTGCCTCCCAGGTTCACGCCTTTCTCCTGCCTCAGCCTCCCATGTAGCTGGGACTACAGGTGCCCAGCTAATTTTTAGTATTTTTAGTAGAGACAGGGTTTCACCATGTTAGCCAGGATGGTCTTGATCTTCTGACCTTGTGATCTACCCGTCTTGGCCTCCCAAAGTGCTGGGATTACAGGCGTGAGCCACAGCGCTCGGCCTACTTAAGTTTTTAAACTTTAAATAAATCCATCATCTCTATATATTGAGAGCCGCACTTCTGTTAATGAAAAAATTAGAATAACACTGCATTATAAAGAGAATAGACTGCAATTGTTATATTGACTTTATATATTATTCATGTATTCACTGATATCACGGGACATTTTTTCCATAGCAGTAATTTTCTTCTATAATATGCTTAATGTGGATTGTAGTTACCTCGATGCTGATAACTAGGGAACCAAGTATAGGGTCTAACTCAAGACAGCTGCAAGATGGGGAATGAGAAAGAGACATAAGATAAAGGGAGAAAAGGCATACTCACTCAGAGTCTGAAAAATGACTGCAACTCTGCAGATTATAAAGATAGAATATTGGGAAAAAGTCATTTAAAGCCACAGTCTATCTTATTCTATGAAAATAATACTTCAGTTTTAAAAAAATATCTTACCTAGGCATGTATTATTCGTGGTATGAAAATCAGTATTTGAAGGGACGTGCTTTGCCAAATACCACTTAGAGCTACTCAGGGGACACATTTGTTTCTGCCAGAAAGGTTAACAAAACAACATCTCCTTGAGAGATGGACAGTGAAACACGTCTTTTTTTGGGGGTACTGTCTGAGTTGAGACCTCTTAGTCTTTGAGGATGGACCTTTATTGGAAATTTTTTTGATATTAGTTACTGTATACTAGATGCCAGAGACGTGAGTGGGAATGTGTGGCCTCTTCTCTCCAAAGTGTTAAATCAGGAAAAAAAAATCGTGGAATGAAGCAGATGATTGCAATAGCTTGTGATAAGTCCTTTCGTAGTGGGTGCTATGGAAAGAGACATGTGGGTTTGCGTGGTGTGTGGAGGGGGCAGGGGAGGTCTACACAGACTTTCTGGTGTGGAAGACTTCTGAGAAAAGAGTAGGAGGGAGGAGGAAGCGGGCCACAAGCAAAAAAAGCAGCATATGTAAGTGTGTGAAAGTGAGAGGGAAGCCCATGTGAGAATCCCACATGAGGTCATAGCATGAAGAGAGAAATGAGAGATGAGACCACAGTACAGCTAAGCTAAATAGTTTCAAGATTATCTTGAAGACTATGGAATATCATGGGATTACTTTAAGTAAGGGAATAAGATGCTTTTTTTTTTAATAGAAATTATTGAGATGGAGAGAGGAGCCAGAAATGAAACCCAAATTGCGACCTTAGGTGCTTAGATGGATGGTGGAGGGCAAAGCGGGGAATGCATACTTTTATTTCGTTGTCAAAATGAATGAAGATACCTATCTAAACCTAAGTGAAGTTCCGTCTAAATCTAACAGAAAGTTGTATATGTCATGGAAGTGGATGAGAAGCAAGTGGAGGAAAATAAAGACAGTAAGATAATCCTAGATTGGTTTAAAGAAAAAAAACTGGCAGGGTGTGGTTGCTCACACCTTGTAATCTTAGCACTTTGGGAGGCTGATGTGGGCTGATCACCTGAGGTCAGGAGTTCAAGACCAGCCTGGCCAACATGGTGAATCCCTGCATCTCCTGAAAATACAAAAATTAGCTGGGTGTGGTGGAGGGCACCTGTAATCTCAGCTACTTGGGAGGCTGAGGCAGGAGAATTGCTTGAAACCAGGAGGTGGAGGTTGGAGTGAGAGGAGATCACACCACTGCACTCCAGCCTGGGTGACAGAACGAGATTCCGTCTCAAAAAAAAACAAAAAACAAAAAAAAGACAAAAACTATTGAGGTACGATTACATGAGGTTGGTTTCTTTTTCAAACTAGGTCATTTTTAAATAATTTTTAATTATTATAGGTACATGATCATTGTATATATTTATGGGGTACATGTGATGTTTGATAGGGGCCTACAATGTGTAATGATCAAATCAGGGTAATTGGGGTATCCATCATCTTAAACATTTCTCATTTCTTTGTGTTAGGAACATTCCAGTTATACTCTTTTAGTTATTTAAAAATATACAACGCATTATTGTTAACTATGTTAACCCTATTGTGCTACCATATACTATATTTTATTTATTCTATCTAACTGAATTTTTGTACCAATTAATCACTCCCACTTTGTAACCCCGAACCTCTCTACACTTTCCAGGCTCTGGTAACTCTTATTATACTTCATCTTCATGATTTCAGTTTTTAAAAAATGTTTAGCTCCCACACAGGAGCGAGAAAATGTGAAATTTGTCTTTTGGTGCCTGGCTTATTTCAGTTAACATAGTTCCAATTCTATCCGTGTTGTTGCAGATAACAGGACTTCATTCTGTTTTATGGCTGAAGAATGTTTAAGATATCAGAATTAGTGTAGTCCTCGGTGCTGCTGGTAGGTTCAGGGCGGCACACGGGCGGAGGTGAGACAGGGGAGGAGAAAGCTTCATGGAGTTGGGTTGCGTTGAAAAATATCATGCCGCTGTGAGCTATTATTACCATGTGAATTGCCTTCCCGGACATTAACCTCACCTGGAATGATGACCTACTGTCTTCAATTTCACAGAGAGCGTAAGACATTTCCTCATACATTTTTTTGTTATATTCGGTTATTTATTAATCAAGCATGCTTGTGCACAAAGGGGTTCACACAGTATTCTGTGAAGAAGTTCAATACATAGAAAACTTGGTTTTATGATTAAATACAGCCAAACCAGCACTAGCATGGTTGCCCTGGCAGCACATATATTTCAAATTGAATTAAAGTTTCATAATATTTAGTTTGCATCTTTATTTCTGTAAACATAGCTCAATTGACACCCAAAGTGATGGCACTGGGGAGAACTAATGTGTGATTAGAAAGCAATGTCTAAAACAAATACCTAAGAAGCTAATAGAAGGCAGTCGGGCTTTTGTACCTAACAGTCTTTATTCTTGTCTGAGGACATCTGCACTCAGGTTCACAGTCAAGCCGATTATCTGTTCTCTAAATCACCATTTGAAAAGCTTTCTTTTGTCATTATAAATAAAAGTTGAGAAAGCAAATCACTTTTCTGGTATTCGAACATATGTCACTGCATCAAAAGAAGAAATATAGAATAAGTGAAAGAGTTGGGAATAGAAAGCCAAAACTAGATTGCACGCTAGCCTTGCCAGTGACCAAACCAGCAGTGTGAACGCATGGACACTCCATTATGTATCCTACAGAAATCCCACCTCCACAAGGTTTCTGTCATTTGCAGTTTGATCTTGACCAGACAAATATCCCTAAATAATCTGTAATTTTCTCATTGGTGAATGAAAACTGAATGGCAGGCCACATGTGGTCGTACGAATGTAACCTCCCAGTTGTCACAGTTGAAAATGCTTTATTAAGTTACTTCTTATAAAATACTTATTGCCATTTTCTTGTACATTAACCTTTTAAAATAATTGCTTGCTTCTGAGTTAAAATTACCATATTTAAGTTTAGAAAAGTTAAGCAAAAACGAAGTATTTACTTAGAAAATAATCAAGAATGTCAAATTAGAGAGAATATAATGAATGTACCCATATGTAGATAAATATATGCATACATACATATATAAAATAATGTTGATGTGCATCAACCAACATGTGCTTGTATTTCTTTATAAAATTACGTAAATATCTGCTAACATTTATTTAGTTATATTACCCATTTTATTAGTCCAGGAATCCAATCTGGCCAAAAGTTGAAGCTCTAAGATTATGTAATGTAGCTGTGTTCTGTGAATACATAGAATTTATTATTGAGATTTTGTATTAACTGTGAATTGAGCTTTATAAATTCTCACATACTTGATTTGCTAAAGCGTTCATCTTAATGGCTTTGAGTCAAAAAAAAAATGCATGTTTAATACTTGCAGAAATACTAAAATAGCTGGAAGAAAACTTGGTTTTAAGAAGCTAGCACTGAAAATTATATTTTATTTCATTAGCATAAGTGGGATATTGACAGTCTCTCACAAGAAGAGAAAACATAGTTGCCTTTTTTGTCATTTTAAGAAAGATTTTACAAGCCAACTCAATGGAAAGGTGATATCCAGGCATATATTGCTAATCATAGTTAAATACTTTTAACAAAACATGCCCTTAGTTTGGGGTAAGTTAAACCAACGATTGCTTTTTATGAGACTGTGAATATATTCATTTAATTGCATCAAGTGAATCTGTACTTTCAACCAGGCATTTTTTTATACAAACTTCTTAATCAAATTTTAAGTGTGTATTCAAATTAAGGGAATCAATAAGCAGTGTTTCATATATTCTTATGCAAATGTCATTTTTATGTCATTACTTAGCATTCATATGAAAATGTCTTTATATTTACAAAATATTTGTGTATTAGTATAAATACATGGAGATATATATATATATATATATATATAGTATATCTGTTATCTAGCATTATGACATCTAATTGGAAGGATTCGGAGAACTCATTTATTTGAAAGATTCCTCAGCGTAAAAGAGACTAGTTATCAATTATTAAAATACATTATCAGAGAAATGACAAACCACAAATTAAATACTGATTGTTGGAAAACATAAAAAGTATGCTAAAAACCATGTGTCACCAATAGACATATTTACTTTCTGATTTAATTAAGATGCACCTTTAAGTTATATAGAGTAAGCTGTGCTTTAGAAAGAGCAATTTAGTTTTTTATCTACTTATTTAATGAAATAATATTTATATAATATTTATTTATGTTGAGAATGGAGAACATATTTTAAAATAATTCAATGGAATTAAATTTATTATACAACCACAGGCAGTATGCTGTCTGAAATAGATTATTTCTAGTATTAAATATGACAATACAATTATTCTTAGATCACTCTGGTCATTTTCATACAGATATACTCACTATAGCATGGTTTCTGAAAAAAAAGACTCTTGAAACATTTCCACAAGTAGAAGCTATCATGTACTGAGTGTCATTATGACATAGCCCAAGGAAGTAATTACTTTCAATGCATCTACTTGAGGAAAATATGACACAGATAGAATGAATAATTTAACTAACAATTCAACTAAAATTCCACAGCTAATAATATTTTATTGTAATTTTTGTATATAATTAAGTAGTCCTGATTCAGACAGTCAATAACTTAATGTAAACAGAGTAAAACAAGTTTGTTCAGTTAGTGGAAAGAATAAGGAACAATGGAGCAATCTGCATATGTCCACTTCTTGGTATTTAGTTTAATCCTTATTAGTTTCCTGAAATGTTGTTTCTAAAGGAAAACTACACATCTAGAAAGGTATCTTGGTATTAGACCTATGCAAACTAAGTTAAAACTACTGTGAAATTTTGCTTTTCTTTAGTATGTACTTATCTCTGCAATATATTGCTCTTTGGAGCAGCTCAATTCTGCATTTCTCTGTATACTGGTGTCTCCATGGGTGATAATTAACATTCTTAACCTTAGACACTGAAAAATGCCTTCTCTTTCCAAACAACAAGCATTGTTTGACATTTAGGTTTGTTTAAAGAGGAAAGATTGTGATATGTAATAGTGTAAACATGTAATAGTGAAGATACCTTCAGTTTTTTAGAAAGACAACTTCAAACTAGAGATAAATAAAGAAAAGCCCTACTGATGATGTGCCAGTTACTGTTCTGTTTACAGACTGTGTTAGAAAAATAAGCTGAAAAATAAAGCCAAGTCATTTAAAACTAATAAAACAATAATGTGACCACATGATTATTATGTGTGGGAAGCAAATCTTCCTACACTCAGCTTGACAAATCCACCAAAAAAAAAGACATAGCGAAATATCAAACTATGAGATAAGAAATGAAACATCCTACATACATTTATATTATCATAATTATAAAGTTAATATCTACTTATGGTATTATACAGTTATTTAAATATGTATATCATATGATATATAGATAGACTAAACGTTACATATGTGTATATATTATATTAGTTAGGGATAAATTTTCTAAAATTAATTTTTATTTAGTTCAGGACTAGACTTAAATTACAAAAGAAAATCTGTTTTTTCATATGATGTGATATCAGAGATACTAGAAATACTCAGTGTTTCCACAAATCCTTACACATTCGCTAAATGATGCAAGCAAATTCAGCAGAGGTGATATATATTTTTTTTCTTAAGAATTTGAAAGCCCTTAAATGTAGAAAACTGATGTCAACAAAATATGTCACTAGTAGTGATTGGCTGCCATTAATATGAGTGGTTGTGACTTGGAAGATATACTGTATCCCTCCTTGGAATTCAAAGTTTAGTATGCTAGGGAACTGGAGAAGTGCTGGAAATCTGATTTTGCTAAAAGTGCCCAAATCAAAGCCTTGTCTCCATCACAGTTTTGGCAAGGGTTATTCCTGATAAAATGGAATAAACTGATACTTTCGTTGTTATGTCAGCTGATAGACTCAAATAATTTCAAATGCAGAATATAGAGTAAAACTCCTTGTGATATCCTTTGATAATCATATGGTAAATAGTTAATTTTTATTTAACTCATGGATTAATGCCTCGCCATGAGCCAAGCAAAAGACAACTGAGTCATAGGCAATCATAGGATGACTTAAATCATGATTATTAAGACAATCAGAATGGATTACTAATTGTAAAAATATATTAACTGTGTGACATGTAAAATAAAACTGTGATGGTCTGGGCAATATTTTAGTGCAAAATATGATTTGATTAGAATTATCTTAGTCATATATTTGCCTTGTTTCCTAGGCAACCATCAAGGTTTCATATGGATATAATAGCATTTCCCAAAGCAAGTTCTGTGCAGCCTTGGTGGGGAGTGCTAGGAAAGAAAAGACTGGCAGGAATTGTGGTATGCCCCCTGAAAACCTGTGGCTCCCTGCCAAGAAACAGCACCCTTAGGTCATACATGCTTAGTAAACAATATTTTTCCTTCCTGGTTTTAAGAGTCTCAGAAGGCTTGTGCCACTAAAATCTATTGTAATTTGTTGAACCCAGTGCTTTCCAAACTTAACTTGACTTTGATAATTCTTTTTAAAGTAACACATTTTAATTTCCATGAACTATACTTTGGGAAATGCTGTAATAGAGTTAACCCTACAATAGATAAACCAAATTAGTGCATAATACTAAGATTTTTTTCAAGAGCTTCATTTTATATTTTAACTATGTCTTTTTGTGAAGAGGCAGTCAATAGCTGACTTTCCTAGATCTTCAACAAAATGAATCATGCTTGGTTTACAACCATCACCAGTACCTAGAGTGTGTGATTTCTATAGCATATCCTAGAACTTGCTCTCAAATACCATCTAAATCCTTCTATATTAGCTGACACTTTCAGTACTCACTATGTTTGGAGATTGTTCTTCTCCCTTGGGTGTCACTTATTGCCTAGCTACTGTGTGCCTATATTGCAAAGCTTTCCCTGCCAGGGTCACACAGACCCTGCAAGGAAGGGTATTATTTTACTTTTGCAAAAATAAGAACACTAGCTTACAGTAACTTAACTTGCTCGTGATCACTGAGAGGCAGACTTGAATGAACTGGATCCTGTTTTCTGGGCCACAGTGATACACCGTTCAATGGCCCTATTCATGCTGCAGTCCAGGCTCAAGGAACCCCGGAGTAGAGACTGCAATTCAGTTCTGAACTCATGTTCTCAGGCTTTACTTCTAGGCTGTGAACTTCTCAAGGGCAGGGACACTATTCAGTGTGATGTCGCCACTGTCTATAATAGTGCTTTGCAGTTCTTAGGAGGTGCTTGATAAAAGTTGAATTAAATTGACTACTTTGATTCTTATGTATTTAGTGGAAGATTACTGTGTTTTATTGGAAAGTGGACTGAGATTCAACAAAAGCAATGTATAAATGTATCTTAAGTTAGGAATTAACTCATCTATATCATACCAATTTATTTTCTTACACTTGACTGTCATTTACAGAAGTTGATATTTGAATAAGCCTTTTGTAGGCTGAGGTGGTAGACTAATAAATCTGGAAATATCTCAGAAAATAGAGTCTGGTGTTTATAGGATAGGCTTTGTATCTAGATGCTTAAGCAGTGACAAGTTCACAATTTTAAAAAATGATTAGGATCTTATATCAGAGGTAAGAGACTTAAAATTTTAGTTGAGGTACATAGCTAGTACTTTTTCTCTGGGGATGTTTGTCTAATAGGGTTAACTCTCTTTGTATAGAATGCCTGATGAGTTTATTAAGTAATCTGAAAGGATTATGCTATTAGTGAGAAACCAATATGCTCATGGAGATAGAATGAAATCCATACAATAGTTAGTTAACAATACAAAAATATTTAATCATTCTTTTCTTTGCCCTGAAGACTTAAAACTAAGAAGATTATTCGAATGGTGAATTAACTTGTTGAAGAGGCTATTCCAAAGGGATAGAATGAGACTAATTTCTGACTATGTTTTGCTAGTGATGGGTGGATGGGAACAAACATTACAAGAAATAGCATAATGAATGTAGAAAATATTTCAGTTTGGAGATGTGCATGAATTAGTTTCCTAGGTTTGCCACAACAAAGCATCCCAAACTGGTGGCTTAAAAAACAGAAATTTGTTTCATGGTTCTTGAGCCTAGAAGGTCAAAATCAAGGTGTTGGCAGGACCATGCTCTCTCTGAAACTCTAAGGGAGAAGCGTTCTTTGTTTCTTCCTAACTCTGATGGCGGCCAGCAAGCCTTGTTGCTCTTGGCTTACAGTTGTGGTGCTCCAGTTCCTGCCTCTGTGGTCACACGGGCTTTGTCTGCATCCCCATGTGATATCCATAAATTTCCTAAAAGCGTTAGATGTCCTTTTTTTTGTTTGTTTGTAGTACAGAATAAAACTCTTAAGCAACTTGTTTCCAAAAGATTATTCCTTGAAAGTAGAGTTAAGACATAAAAGTTTTTCTATGAAACTACTAGAAGAAAACATAGAGGCAATGTTTCAGAATGTTGATCTAGGCAAATATTTTATGGTTAAGATTTCAAAAGCATAAGTCAATAAAGACAAAAATAGACAAATGGGATTGTATTCAATTAAAAAGCCTCTGCACATCAAAGGAAATAATCAACTGAGTGAGGAGAAAACCTACAGAATGAGAGAAGATATCTGTAAAATACTCATCTGAAAAAAGACAGATATCTAGAATATACAAGGAACTCAAACAATTCAATAGCAACAAACCCAAGTAAATCCATTAAAAAGGGAAGAAAACTATGGCTAGGTCATACTCATACCTTGTAGGATATTGTGCGCTGCGATTTAGATAACAGTGTCCTTTAAATTAGTAAGTCCATTTCTAAAACTGATATGACACATCTCTCCAAAGATTCTTGATAGAAAAAAAATAAGAGTGAAAAGGTTCAAAGAATCCAGTAAAATTATAGATGCTGTTGTATGTGTGTGGTAACAAAAGGAAGTGAAGTTGGGCCTACCTAATAAAACTATAATTGAATGAAAGGGTATTGGTGGGCTTATGAACAAATTTAGGAATGGTGGAATGCAAGGATGAAACCCAGGTGCCTGGGTATATAACACTTTCTGGAAAACTGAAATATCCCAGTCATTGCCACTACTGTCTCAACAATCACCGTGTACCTTACAGCAAATATCCTTAGCTCATTCGTGGCCTAATTGAGGTTACACACACATGCCACAGCAAAAGAAGGCTCTAGCCCCCATGCCTTCCGTAGTGGAAAGGCGTTCCAGAAATAGCTTTTATGTCAAGGCTACACACAGGGCAGTGATCACCAACCCCCCCAAAAAATGTAAGGTGCCATTAGGAGGAGAAATGATGCGAGATATCCACTGTATACTAACAGGAGTGATGCCAGAAAGGATTAATAATTTGGGGAGTGGAATGATTTTATGAGATGATAACTTTGCTAAAAATATGAGTCAGGTTTCTGCGTAAATCAGGTAAAGCAGCTACCCTTATTTGCAGACATCCTGAGAATGCAATATGATGAGCAACTTCTGTTTCCCCAATCCTTGCTGAAGGTAAATAAGATTTATTGTTGCCAAAACTCTTCAATCTACAAAATATTTTTTTCTTTATAAAATGCTTTTGGTCTCTTGTTTCATGTCTATATATTTTCTAAGCCCTCTTCTTCTCCCATTGCATGGCTGTCCTCACCCTCACTCTTACCTTTGTTTTGCTGTTTGCAGGACCTCCTGGTCTCTGTCAGAAAAGACTTGTAACTTTCCAAATGAAATGTTGCAACTTCCTATTTTTCTGAAATCTATTTACTAAATGTTATGCAAGACATGAAATTTTTGCCTACTTTATTCCACCATCATTTGTTTTATGAAACAAACAAACAAAAAAATCTCTAAACCTAACCCAAGTAGAAGATGCTTAACTTTAAGGAAACACTAGGCAACAGGCAGTATCATGGGGTGTCACAGGATATGAACAATGGAAAGGTCTCTTGGAAACTGGAGGAGGTGCTACTGGGAACTAGCAGTGCTCTCTCCATCTCTCAGGGCCCAACCCACATGGTTTCCAGTTTCTTTGATTCTCTCTGTCTCCTCTTTTATTCTGCTGCTGCTGCTTGGTCAGTCCTGAATCAAAGAGCCCTTGAAGGCCTTTTCATACCATGGATTAGTTAACGAACTTTCTCTCTTATAGAACATGAAGGATGTATCACTGGATAGCTAATTGGCCAATTACCTGTCCTTGTTTAAGTATCTTTGTCAAGGTAGGCAAGGAAGGCAGACAACGCTGAACGCATAGGCCATGTGATGTGGATCGAATACGGCAGCTGCACAGGCCTCTCCCATCTCAGATTGTGAAATGATTAATTAATATTTTCAGTTAGTAAAAGAAACTGGGGTCAGCAACTCTATGTGTGTGTGTGTGTGTGTGTGTGTATCTGTGTGGGGGTTTATATTCACAAATATCTGTATATTTGATTAGAAAACCCACAGAGAGATCAAGGGCTCTCTATATCCTGCTAAGTTCTGAAGGATTCCCCCATAATGTGCCCCCACCTACTCACTACCCTATCCTCCAATGTCATAACTGCAATAGAGATCCACTTCCATCTGCTCGAGGCTATTTAGTAGTTCAATAATAAACAAGGTTGTTGTTTAGAGAAAAAGAACCAGTGTTCCCCTGCCATTTTTTTCAAACTTTCACTTTACTTGTTCTGTCTTATTAGATCTAGTTACCCATAGGACCTTTCCTATAATAAAGCAAACAGTTACTGCTAATTATATTTCAGGACTTGTAAGGAACACTAAAAATATAAAGACATATATGCCATTATATCTACTTGCAGAGTATTTATAGTCTTTAGAGGGGAACAGAGAAGTAAATTAAAAACTAAAGGGTGGTGACATAAATACTATAAGAAAGAGAAATAAGGATGCAATAGGAAACCCTGAAATCAGGTTTTTTTCTGACTTACCTCAGTTGACTAGCCCAGCACATTAGATCCACCCTCCCCTTTTCCAGCTCCTGAAGCTTACTTCAAACAAAACCTGTCTCACCTCCTCTCAGTCCCAAGACTCAGATCCATTTTCACACCTATGGACTATTTAGTTTTGATGAGAGTAAATAGCTTCTTCATACTGTAACTATTTTACCTGATATCTTCAAATGTATTAACATTCCTTTATCCTGTAGTTATACAGTTGATGGTATTTCTTACATAACATTGTATTTCTGGTACACCTTCTTGGTTTTAAGAAGTATTGCTACATTCATCATACTATGTGCTTGAGTTTTATTCATCTCCCTGTTGATGATTCCAGAAATGCAGGTTGATGTATCACACAAATAGCCCCTCTAACTATAGTTCTCATAATAGACAACAGTTAAATATTTTTGTCACTCCTTAAAGCACTTTCTTAGAACAATGCCAACTAATATGAGGCACAGAAGTGCATCAGTCATTACTGCTTTTGTTCACATATGCAATCTGTCATCACCAGCTTCTTTGCCTCTGCTTACAAAAATACTAAGTATTTCTCAACACTAAAGAAACACAAATTCAAAATTTTTCCGAAGTTATCTTGCTCCCACAAGGATATCCCTGCCTTTAAGGGCTAACTTCTCAGATTACACTCACTACCTCTACTTCCTTACACTTACACCTTACGTCTTGAAACTTCACTTTGAATAATTTTGTAGTAGGGTTCCACGAACGACCAGCTCCTTCTTAAAACCTGCTTTTATATTCATCCCTTGGGGCTGGGCGTGGAGGGGCAGAAGAAAAAGTCAGATGTGGGTTCACATTCTAGCTCTGCTACTTCCTGAGGATCCTTTGTCACAGTGGCAGACCATAAAATCGGATTAATAATGCTTACTCCTTAAAATAATTTACAAAATTAAAGGAGAAATCAGTTGTGCAAATCTGTCTCTTTTTTTGCCCTTTCAGTTTATTTTATTTTTATATTTTTTAACATTTAAAGATATTTATTTGAAAAATAATACCTTACAATCCTAGTCCTATCAATCAAACTTCAATAAGAGCAATTTTAGCATCAACTAACAGTAGCTAAACTAACAACAGATCAACTGAAAGTGTTTTAAAGGGAGCAGAACCAGCTGATGTTCTGTAGAGTCCATGGACATTCAGGACCTGGCTACAAGGAAAGCAAAGCCAAACCGGCAGGTGGTCTGGAGAGAAGCCCTCATACCCACACCGTGACCAGCTTCCCTCCTGGTGGCCCTAGCGGCCCATGAACCCCCTGTGGGGTTCTGGGCCCCTGTGGGCTGTGGGTCAAACCCCAGAATCCAAAGGGCCACTCAGGAAAGGCTAGAACTTGGAACTCAGTCATCTGGCTTCTGCGTGTTGTGGTCATTTTCTTTCTGGAGCACCTGGAGCACTCTCTTGGTGGACATTGTGGCCATCCAGCCTTCCTGGGCCATTTTCTCATGGAAGAAGATCTCCCTATGAAAATTGGAAGCGTCTTCCTTCAATTCCTGGGCCAGGTCTTCTTGTAGTGGTTCTGCGCCATTTTCTTGTAGTAGTTGCGGGTGTAACACACACGTTTCAAATTTTTTTGCACCTTGAAAAGTCTCTGGTTGAGGTGCAGGCAGTGGGCGTCCTCCTCCGTGGACTCCTGCTGAGGCCCCATTGTGGGTTCTTGGTGCAGTGCAGGTGGAGTGGGATCCTCAGCTGCAGCTTCAGGAGCTCCTTCTCCAGCTGTGTCCTTGCACCCTGCAGAGAGCCCTGCTGGTCCAGTCAGACTTTGGACTTGTGCTGTGACTTCTTTCCTCCTTTGGATTTCTTTTCACAACTGCATGTCTGCTTCTTCAGTCTCCCCCTCAGGACATTCGAGGGACACATCTAAGTCACCATCATCATCCACACTCTTTGGAGGGTCTTGTGGCCAGGACACTGGGGAACCACCATGTCCCGCTTCCCTGTTCCCCTCCACTGCCGAGTTACCATCCTCACATGATCTCCCACCCTCAAGCAGATGCAGGATGCTCGGCGGGGTGTGGCCCGGGGAGGTCAATCACCTCACTTCAACATTCGTGGTCTGCTTAATTCCAGTCTTGGCCTGCTCCTGCCTTTCCTTCTTCGCCTTTTTTCTGGCAAACGTTGCTTTCATCTCACAATTTCTTGGTGGGGCAGCTCTGCAGGTGGCTGACAGTCCGTGCTGTCCTTCAGATCCTCCGCAGTTTGCCCCTGAAGATCTTCTCCCTCGTGCTGTGAAACATGCGGGACCCGCTTTGTTCAGTCACTCGGGGAAGTTCAGGAGATTTGTGTTTTTGTGCTTTTTTCAGAGGCACCCCGAAGTCCTGATGGGAAGACTTGCTTATTTCCTTGAGAACCCTTGAGTAGAGGGTTTGGAGTGATCGAGGACTGGCCTGCGGCATGGGCAATATGAGGCCACCACCACCCTGGGGTGCTGGCTGAATCTTGACTCTGGCCTTGATGATCTCACCCTGGGCCGACTCCCTTTGGGCTGGCTCTTCCCTTCTTCTCACCGCATGTCGTCTCCTGACTATAAAGGCCGCCACAACAGTGCACGACCGTATCACCCAGGATATCCATAGTTTGCAGGCATTAGTCCCAGGATTCTCTACATCACTAGCACTGTCACCCACATGTGGGCCAGCAGCAGCTCAGAAGGCATTTCGTGGTGGGAAGCAGGCCCTCCGTGGCTCCCGAGAGCTCTGCAGCTCTGCCTCTCCTTGCCAGTGGCGTGTGGGCCACAGCTGACCACTGGGAACTCTGCAGAGTGTTCCGTCTCCAACACAAGAAATGGCCCACCAACAAGGTAGACCATCCATCTGCTGGGGATAGGGAAGGTATCCTGTGTTCCAGAAAACTGTGTCCCTGATTTTGCTGTGCAAATAGAAAGTGATATTACTTATGCAATGCCTTGGGGAAGTGGAAAGAGCTCATGGCAGCCCCTAGCTCAAGCCACTCCAGATCCTACCAGGCCCTAAAGCAGAGCTAGAGAGTCAAAGCAGGGCCACGCCATGGTCCTGAGTCCACACATGATCCTCTCAAGGCAACATGGTGGCCCATCCCAGGTGAGGCTCATGACCGTGATTTCATGTTTCCTTCTGCTGCAGGGAAGCCTGGTCCTACTTGCAAAAAGTCTGTCTACCTTGCTAGATTGAGCTGCCTGAAGAAAGGACTCTGTTTTCTTCATCTCCATATCCCTTGTATCTAGCTAATGCTCACTACACACCAGGGACTGGGTCATTGTTTATCTTATTTTTTTGTTGACTCTACTCTGACTTAGGACGTGCCACTTTCCCTCTTGACCTCCATATTCAGATCTGTACATAAGAGGAAGTGGGTAAAGTTCCCTCTAGCTTTAAAACTCCTCCAATACAGAGAGAACTCTGAAACCAGAGCCAGAAGCTGAGGAATGGTGAAGATGGTGAATGGAACATTTTCCTTGGCATGATGGAGGGGACCTGCAGGTTTGGCTATTAGGGTAGCATCTGGCCACTTCAATGCCTCTGCAGAATTTGATTCCAGCTTTCAAATCAGACTCAGAAATGATCTTCAGTGTCGGTGGTTTTATGGTTTGTTTCTTTTTTTTAATTGACACAATAGCTTCTGAAAATCTTTTTCATGGAGAGTATGGGGGCTTCTTTGACCAAATTGCATGGGTGCAGACTCCATCTGCTCATCAGCCACTGTCTGGGCCACAGCGTGTCTTCAGAGTCCTGCTCCTGTACATAGGTTTAATCATGGCAGAAGGCAAAGGAGACCCAGACACGTCTTCCATGACCAGAGCAGGAGGCAATGTGCAGATCTTTCTCCATGCATTAGATAATTAATCATTTTAGTTCCCTTTCTGCATTCTTTCTTTTAGCAAATTGTGTGCCTTATGTGATACTGGCTTAGAACAATACCAAATAAGCTGTAGGAGTATGTAAGTTCTTAGAAAGAAACTAGCGGAAGGTGATGGTTTTCAAAAGAGGGTTATATTTTCAAAGGGAAAATGTTATGGACCTAAACTGAGTATTTTACCTTTAATTTAATGTACGCTACAATATATTTATACCAGTGAATAAAATCATGATTTTTTGCTTAAACGATTTTATTAAAGATAAACTGAGAATAAGATGACTGCTATCATGCTTTAAAAACAAGACTGTGTTCTCTTCATCAACATTTTCTTCCCCTTCATTTCAGATCACTTCTTCCCTTTTATTTCAGACCATAATTGATTCTACCTTTGAATTCTCCTATCCTCCTCTAATTGCTACCAGCATATTTTCCAAGGAACTTCTTAAAAGTGTATTTTCAAGACACCTTTCTATATGCCTCCAACCAGAATTACATTCCTTTTCTTTTGTGCCCTTATAGCATACTGTGTATATTTATCATATGATGTTGCTTTTGTCGTTGTTGTTGTTTGTAACTTGCTTGGTTGTTGTTGCTGCTTTTCTGGACTTATCTTATTGATAGAATTCTACATTTTAGCATTAGAAGGGACATCTGAGTTTGTGGTCAACTCTAAAATGAGTCCAAAGTTCAACTTTACCTCTCAATTACTGAATAGACTTAGCAAGTTATAAAACCTCCTACCCATTAGATTCTGCCACTATAAAATTGAATTAATGTCAATTTTATAGAATGGTTATAAAGATTAAAAATAATACCTCTAACTAACAGGGTGCCTGCTGTATAATAGGCCATCAGTAGTTATTACTTGTAAGATTTTAGACAGTGTACCTGAACATGTCTTTATCCTGTGAAAGTTCTGTTACAGGGAATGCCTTGCGTTTAATATGTAATTGAAGAAAGGAAGAGTTGGAAAGATGATTGGACATCTAGGGCTATGGTGATCACATGCATAGCTTGCAAAACTTAACAAAATAAAGATAATACTTAAGAATTTACAGGAAGGTGGGGCGTAGTGGCTCACGCCTGTAATCCCAACACTTTGGGAGGCCAAGGTGGGTGGATGACCTGAGGTTAAGAGTTGGAGACCAGCCTGGCCAACGTGGCAAAACCCTGTCTCTACTAAAAATACAAAAATTAACCTGGCGTGGTGGCACTTGCCTGTAATCCCAGCTACTCAGGAGGCTGAGGCAGGAGAATCGCTTGAACGTGGGAGGTGGAGGTTTCAGTGAGCCAAGATCGCGCTATTGTACTCCAGCCTGGGCGACAGAGCAAGACTCCATGTCAAAGAAAAAAAAAAAAGAATTTACAGGAACACAGCTTAAAACACTGTAACTCAACTGTGGAAAGCTGGACAATAATTAAAATGGATATAGTTCTTACATTGTAATAAAGAAAGGAAGTGTTCTCTTTGTGCAAAGATCTGGTCAGTGGTTTTAAATGCAAAGTTAGAAAAACTTACTTATTAACTTAATAACAGATGCTAGTTAATATATAAACTTCATTTGCTTTGGTATAAGACTAATGATGCTACTTTCTTCTTTAAAATCATAATTATAAAGAATGAAATTACCTAATTTTAAGCAAAACTAAAAACACATTTTTCTGCATAGTAAGTAATAGAATGATCTACTGATCAAAAGCACAGTAGTTTCTTTCTTTTGTACTACTGAGAAAGAATCATTAGTTCATAGTTTCTTTCTTTTGTACTACTGAGAAAGAATCATTCGTTCATAGAAATCCCCAGGAAAAGGTATTTGCAATAATAAGGTCTAAAAATTCTGTATGCTTCGAAGTAGTTCCCCTGCAGGCATGAGGTAGACATTGTAGAAGCTGCTCAGAAAACCATTAAGTCTTTTTAATCATGTTAACATTTTATGTTTAAATAAGTTAGTCATGAATATGAAATTGGAAATTTGGAAAAAGAATGTCTAAGATGATCAGTTTTCTCCTCTTACGATGAGTATGTGTCATCTGTTTGTGAGGACAAGACCATAGAAATGGCATTGTCCTATATAAGAAGGTGCTACATCTGAAAATTCTTTTTTTATCACATTAAGCCTGCATTTATTTATATTTTTAAAATATTTTTATTTCCATAGATTATTGGGGAACAGGTGGTATTTGGTTACATAAGTTCTTTCTTGGTGATTTGTGAGATTTTGGTGCACCCATCACCTGAGCAGTATACACGGCATCCTATTTGTAACCTTTTATTCCTCGCACCCCCCACCCTTTCCCCCTGAGTCCCCAATGTCCGTTCTGTCATTCTTATGCCTTTGCATCCTCATAGCTTAGCTCCCACTTATGAGTGAGAACACACGATGTTTGGTTTTCCATTCCTGAGTTACTTCACTTAGAATAATAATCTCCAATCTCATCCAAGTCACTGTGAATGCCATTCATTCATTCCTTTTTATGGCTGAGTAGTATTCCATCATACATATGTCTCACAGTTTCTTTACCCACTCATTGATTGTTGGGCATTTGGATTTGTTCCATGGTTCTGCAGTTGTGAATTGTGCTGCTATAAACATGCGTGTGCAAGTATCTTTTTCATATAATGACCTCTTTTCCTATGAGTAGATACCCAGTATTGGGACTGCTGGATCAAATGGTAGTTCTACTTTTAGTTCTTTAAGGAGTCTCCACATTGTTTTCCATAGTTGTTCTAATAGTTTACATCCCCATCAGCAGTGTAGAAGTGTTCCCTGTTTCCAGCATCCATGCCAACATCTATTTTTTTTTTTGATTTTTTTATTATGACCATTCTTGCAGGAGTAACGTGATATTGCATTGTGGTTTTGATTTGTATTTCCCTGATCATCAGTGATGTTGACCATTTTTTCATATGTTTGTTGACCATTTGTATATCTTCTTTTGAGAATTGTCTATTCATGTCCTTAGCCCATTTTTTGATAGGATTTTTTTTTTCTTGCTGATTTGTTTGAGTTCATCATAGAATCTGGATATTAGTCCTTTGTCAGATGTATAGATTGTGAAGATTTTTTCTCACTCTGTGGGTTGTCTGTTTATGCTGACTATAGTTCCTTTTGCCATGCAAAAGCTCTTTAGTTTAATTAAGTCCCAGCTATTTATCTTTGTTTTTATTGCATTTGCTTTTGGATTCTTGGTCATGAAATCCTTGCCTAAGCCAATATCTAGAAGGGTTTTTCCAATGTTATTTTCCAGAATGTTCATAGTTTCAGGTCTTAGGTTTAAGTCCTTAATCCATCTTGAGTTGATGTTTGAATAAGGTGAGATGAGGATCCAGTTTCATTCTCCTACATATGGCTAGCCAATTATCCCAGCATCATTTGTTGAAAAGGATGTTCTTTCCCCACTTTATGTTTTCGTTTGCTTTGTCGAAGATCAGTTGGGTGTAAGCATCTGGGTTTATTACTAGGTTCTCTATTCTGTTCCATTGGTCTACGTGTCTATTTGTATACCAGTACCATGCTGTTTTGTTGACTATGGCTTTATAGTATAGTTTGAAGTCAGGTAATGCAATGCCTCCAGATTTGTTCTTTTTGCTTAGTCTTGCTTTGACTATGTGGGCTTTTTTTTTGTTCCATATGAATTTTAGAATTTTTTTTTTCTAATTCTGTGAAGAATGATGGTGATATTTTGATGGGAATTGCTTTGAATTTGTAGATTGCTTTTGGCAGTATGGTCATTTTCACAATATTGATTCTACCCATTCCATTTGTGTCATCTGTGAAATATTTCAGCAGTATTTTGTAGTTTTCCTTGGAGAAGTCTTTCACCTCCTTGATTAGGTATATTCCTAAGTATTTTATTTTAATTTTTTTGCAGCTATTGTAAAGAGTTGAGTTCTTGATTTGATTCTCAGCTTGGTCGCTGTTGGTATATAGAAAAGCTACGGATTTATGTACATTAATTTTGTATCCAGAAACTTTGCTGAATTCTTTTATCATTTCTAGGAGCTTTCTGGAGGAGTCTTTAGGGTTTTCTAGGTAAACAATCATATCATCAGCAAACAGTGACTGTTTGACTTCCTCTTTACTGATTTGCTTGCCCTTTATTTCTTTCTCTTGTCTGATTGCTCTGGCTAGGACTTCCAGTATGATGTTGAAGAGGAGTAGTGAGAGTGGGCATCCTCATCTTGTTCCAGTTCTCAGAGGGAATGCTTTCAACTTTTCCTCATTCAGTATTATGTTGGCTGTGGGTTTGTCATAGATGACTTTTATTACATTGAGGTACGTCCCTTGTATGTCAATTTTGATGAGAGTTTTAATCATAAAAAGATACTGTTTTTTGTTAAATGCTTTTACTGCATCTATTGAGATGATCATGTGATTTTTATTGTGGATGCTGTTTATGTGGTGTATCACATTTATTGATTTGCATATGTTAAACCATCCCTGCATCCCTGGTATGAAACCCACTTGATCATGGTGGATTATCTTTTAGGTATGTTGTTGGATTTGGTTAGCTAGTATTTTGTTAAGGATTTTAGCATTTATGTTTATCAGTGATATTGGTCTGTAGCTTTCTTTTTTGGTTATGTCCTTTCCTGGTTTTGGTATTAGGGTGCCACTGGCTTCATAGAATGATTTGTGGGGGGTTCCCGCTTTCTCTATCTTGTGGAATAGTGTGAAGATGATTGGTGCCAATTCTTCTTTCAGTGTCTGGTAGAATTCTGCTGTGAATCCGTCTGGTCCTGGATTTTTTTTTATTGGTAATTTTTAAATTACTTCAATCTCACTGCTTGTTACAGGTCTGTTTAGGGTATCTAATTCTTCCTGATTTAAGCTAGGAGGGTTGTATCTTTTTTGGAATTTATCCATCTCTTCTAGGTTTTTAAATTTATGTGCATAAAAGTGTTCACAGTAGCCTTGAATGATCTTTTGTATTTTTGTGGTGTCAGTTGTAATATCTCCCATTTTGTTTCTTATTCAGCTTATTTGGATTTTCTGTCAGTCTCTCTTTTTTTTTGGTTAATCTTGCTCATGGCCTATCAATTTATTTATCTTTTCAAAGAACCAGTTTTTTGTTTCATTTACCTTTTGTATTTTTTGATGTCACTTGAATTTATTTAGTTCTGCTTTGATATGGTTAGTTCCTTTCTTTTGCTGGGTTTGGGTTTGGTTTGTTCTTGTTTCTCTAGTTCCTTGAGGTATGACCTTAGATTGTCTGTCTGTGCCCTTTCAGACTTTTTGATGTAGACATTTAGGTCTATGAACTATCCTGTTAGCACCGCCTTTGCTGTATGCAGGAGATTTTGATAGGTTTTGTCATTATTGTCATTCAGTTCAAATCTTTTTTTAATTTTCATCTCTATTTTATTTTTGACCTAATGATCATTCAGGAGAAAGTTATTTAATTTCCATGTATTTGCATGGTTTGAAGGTTCTGTTTGGAGTTTATTTTCAGTTTTATTCCACTGTGGTCTGAGAGAGTGCTTGATATAATTTCAATTTTCTTAAATTTATTGAGGCTTGTTTTGTGGCCTATTGTATGGTCTATCTTGGAAAAACTTCCGTGTGCTGTTGAATAGAATGTATATCCGGCAGTTCTTGGATGGAATGTTCTGTATATATCTGTTAAGTCCGTTTGTTCCAGGGGATAGTTTAAATCCATTATTTCTTTTCTTTTTTTTTTTTTTAGAAGGAGTCTTGCTGCTCTGTCCCCCAGGCTGGAGTATAGTGGCACAATCTTGACTCACTGCAAGCTCCGCTTTGTGGGTTCATGCCTTCTCCTGCCTCAGCCTCCCTAGTAGCTGGGACTACAGGCGCCCACCACCATGCCCAGCTAATTTTTTGTATTTCTAGTAGAGACAGGGCTTCACCTTGTTAGCCAGGATGGTCTCGATCTCCTGACCTCATGATCCGCTCGCCTTGGCCTCCCAAAGTGCTGGGATTACAGGCCTGAGCCACTAAATCCATTATTTCTTTGTTGGCTTTCTGCCTTGATGACCTGTCTAGTGCTGTCAGTGGAGTATTGAAGTCCCCCACTGTTACTGTGTTGCTGTCTATCTCCTTTCTTAGGTCTATTAGTAATTTTTTTTATAAATTTGGGAGCTCCAGTGTTAGGTGCATGTATATTTAGGACAGTGATATTTTCCTGTTGGACAAGACCTTTTATCATTATATAATAACACTCTTTGTCTTTTTTAACTTCTGTTGCTTTAAAGTTTCTTTTGTCTGATATAAGAATAACAACTCCTGCTCACTTTTGGTGTCCATTTGCATGAAATGTCTTTCTCCATCCCTTTACCTTAAGTTTATGTGAGTCCTTATGTGTTAGGTGAAGGGCTATCTCTTCAAGGCAGCAGATAGTTGGTTGATGAATTCTTATCCATTCTGCCATTCTGTAGTTTTAGGTGGAGCATTTAGGCTATTTACATTCAACGTTAGTATTGAGATGTGAGGTACCCTTGCATTCATCATGCTATTTGCTGCCTGTATACCTTCATTTTTTGGTTTTTGCTTTTGTTTTTCAAATTGTTTTTGATATATAGGTCCTGTGAGATTTATGCTTAAAGAGGTTCTGTTTTGATGTGTTTCCAGGATTTATTTCAAGATTTAGAGCTCTTTTTAGCAGTTCCTGTAGTGGTGGCTTGGTAGAGGAAAATTCTGTAAGCACTGGTTTGTCTGAAAAAGACTGTGTCTTTCCTTCATATATGAAGTTTAGTTTCACTGGATACGAAATTCTTAGCTGATAATTGTTTTGTTTGAGGAGGCTGAAGGTAGTGCTCCAATCCCTTCTAGCTTGTAGGGTTTCTGCTGAGAAATCTGCTGTTAATCTGATAGGTTTTCCTTTAGAGATTACCTGGTGCTTTTGTCTCACAGATGTTAAGATTCTTTCTTTCATCTTAACTTTAGATAACCTGATGACAATGTGCCAAGGTGATGATCTTTTGGCAATGAATTTCCCAGGTGTCCTTTGTGCTTTGTTCCTAGGAGGATTATGGCTGCCTCTACTGTGTCATGCAGGTTGTCAGGGAAGTGGAGGGAAACCCAGCAGTCACAGGCCTCACCCAGCTCCCGTGCAATCCGAAGGGCTGGTCTCACTCCCACCGTGCCACCCTGTATAGCACCGAGTCTGTTTCAAGGGGTAGGTGAGCAGTGCTGAGAACTTGCCCCAGGCTACCCGCCTCCCAGCTGCGAAAGCAAGTATGGCTTTCCTTCTACACCCGCCTGTGGAGTCTGCACACTGGATTCACTCCCCTACCCTGAGTTCTGGCAAGAAGACTTCTTGATCAGCTCAAATTGTTACAAAGTTCAGCTGGAGCTTTCCTTCTCCCTGTGGCCTTTTCCCAGGGCCTCTGGTGCCCTCCCAAAGGACCCCTGTGAGACCAGGCAGAAATGGTTTGCTAGGGGACCCAGTGAGCTCACAGGGCTTTCCTGCTGCTTTCTCTACCCCTGTATTTTGCTCAGCTCTCTAAATCGACTCAGCTCCAGATGAGGTCAGAATCTTCTCTTGTAATGTAGACCTTCAGTTTCCCCAGTTGAGGGGTGTGTATGGGGGTGGATGATCTCCCTTTCCCACTTCCACATTTTGGGCACTCACAGTATTTCGGATGTCTCCCAGGTCCTGCAGGAGCAATTTGCTTCCTTCAGAGGGTCTGTGGGTCTCCTTGGGTTTCCTGATTTATTCCTGCAGTCATTCCAAAGCCAAAATTCACAGTGCGGGCCTCCGCATACTGCTCTGTTCATCCTAGTCAGAGCTGCAATCTGGTCCTGTCTCCTGTCTGCCGTGTTCTGCCTACATCTGAAAATTCTAATAGCAATTATTATAATAAAATAGTAGTCCTCACATTTCTAATTATTAATAGTTATGAATACAAAAAGCAAGAAAAGGATTACTTGTGACAGAAAAGTACTTCATTGATCATTGGCATCCTTCACTGCCATCTACGTTGGCAGAAACACTTCTGATTGTGGAAATAGTCATATGGGACCATATGACTCATACAGATGACTTACATGTTTTATTGGGTTTCTATCTTTTTATTTCTGCAGTGAAAATGAAAGGTGGTGAAACTGGAGGCAAAAAAAAAATGAAGCAAAGATGCTTTTATTTTCTTTACTCTGAAGTTATTTTGCCGGTAGAAAAATGAGGGAACATTGAGATAATAAAAGAGCCTGCAGCTGTGAAGAAAAGCTCTCAGAATTCTCAAAGACAAGAGCACATAGTCTGAGAGGTTTTGCCACTGACATTGCTAAATTTGAAAACTCCAAAATTCTTTCTGCAATGTGTGAAGAGGACTAAGACTAAATATTATAATTGTTAATAAACAGTGAAAAGAAAATAAATTGTATTATCTACATGTATGAATATATACACATAATCCCTGACTCAGCATGGTTCAACTTACAATTTTTTGACTTTACTGTGTTACAAAACACTACACACTTTCACTATACTCCTTGAATGACAACAGGGTTACATCTGGAGGAACCCATGGTAAGTTAAAAATATCGTTAGTTAAAATGCCCTTTTGACCCAGGATATATTCAATGTGTAATGGGCATAACTCCATCATCAGCTGAGGAGCATCTGTATAGCCGTCCCTCTATCCACAAAAGATATGTTCCAGGTCTCCCAATGGATGCCTGAAACCACAAATAAGACAGAGCTGTCTATATTATGACTTTTCCTATGTTTACATTCCGATTATACAGTTCAATTTATATATTAGGCACAGTGAAAGGTGAACAACAGTGACTAATATTAATAATAGTAGAAGAAATTATAATACACTATCATAAAAGTTACATAAATGTGGTCTCCTCTGTCTTTGTCTCTCAAAATGTCTTGTGGTGTACTTACCATTTTTCTTCTTATGATGTCGTGAGATGATAAAATGCTCAAGTGCTGAGATGAAGAGAGGCAAATGATGAAGGCACTGTTATGTAGTGTTAGGCTATTGACCTTCTCACAACAGGATAGAAGGGGGATCATCTGCCTTGGGAGATCCTGGATCATGGGGCCATGATGTGGATGGTTGGATGTCAGGAGCAGACCACGTTGATGACTAATGGGTACAAACGGTGTGGATACCCTGTGTACCACAGGGTACACATGTCCCAGGGACATGTGGGAAGATTCATGTCCCAGGCAGGACAGAGCAGGATGCTACTCAGAACTTACCAATGTAAAACTTATAAATTGTTTATTCTAGAATTTTCCACTTAATATTTTCAGACTTTGCCTGATTGAGGATAACTGAAACCATGGAAAGGTAAACCATGGATAAGGGGAGATGACTGTATCTACGTGTGTGTCAGACAGAATATTCATTTGGACACGTGGGCAGAAAATGGCCTTTCCCAGCCGCATGCAGTAGCTCATGCCTGTAATCCCTGAAGGCCGAGGTGGGAAGATTGCTTGAGCCCAGGAGTTTGAGACCAGCCTAAGCAACATAGGAAGACTTCATCTCTACAGAAAAATAAAAATATTAGCCAGGTGTGGTGGCATGTGTCTGTAGTCCCAGTTACTTGGGAGGCTGAGGTGGGAGGATCACTTAAGTCAGGGAAGTTGAGGCTGCAGTGAGCTGTGATAGCCCCACACACTCCAGCCTGGGCAACAGAGTGAAATCCTGTCCCTTCCCCTTCCAAAGAAAGGCCTTTCCCATGAGGCAACAGCAGTTAGTTATTCCCGGTAACGATCAGGACGGAGAGCCACACTTACTGAACTATTAACTTTAGACACAGAACTTCCTTGAGTTGCAAATAACATGCTTCACTAAAGCAATGCAAGCTGTCCTGGTATTTTCTTTTCCTCTCACAATGGCCCTGTATACACATTAATCTGTGATCTTCATTTCACAGCGTCATTCTGAAGCACTAAGCCATGTGCCAATGGGACAGTAGTGACTCAGTTCTGTATCCCAATTTATCAGCAGGGCAATGCTCACTATGTGTCCTCCTGGGCTTGAAGGGAAGGAAGCCATCTAGGAGACGTCCTCCCTCATCATCCCTTGCTCATGTTTCCCCGGCCCTCCCTCACGATACCTGCCCTTCCTTCCCACTGCAATAATATTCCCCGAGGAAGCCCTAGAAGGCTTTTGGGTTCTGTTGACAATTACAGGAATAATTTATTTTCAAATGGATGTTAATCTGATAGAAGTAGTCAAATTTTCCCTGAGCTCAGGCAGAAACAAACTTCTTCATGGCAAGTATACTGATTCCATCCGCTATTATTGTGATGGGGAAGACAAATTATCCAATTACTAAACACAGTGCTCTAGGCAATACAAAATAACATCCTGATTAATCTAACTACATAGGAGAGATACTTCTGTTTATCACGCTTCCCCTAAAACAAACAATATTGGATTACAAATAAAGATGAGTCATATTTGTTCGGCAATACTCATGGATATTTCAGTCCTGAAAATAAAGAGCTTACTTAAGGTGAGAAATATTTATATAAATGGCCTTAATGTAGTATGCACTTAAAATTACATTCACGAGTGAAAGTATATTCATAAGATCATTTCTGAGCTAAAATACTGAAGATTTTATTCTAGCTCATTTGTACTAATTAGAAACAAATTTTACTTCTTCCATCTGTGTGCTATATTTAAAAATGAAACGTTATAGATATGTAAGCAGATGCTGAGATTACCAACTGGTCAATTTAGACAAACATCGTATTATTTGCCATGAATGTCAAATGATTCAGGTTTTTGTTTCCTCCACAAGGAAAACAAAAAGCAATAAAAATTTTGGTGATGACATAAACATTTTAATGTCATCATCTAAATTATTAAGGGAATGTTTAACCTTTAATGATGTATCTGGGAAATTTTTGACCCTGTGACAAATAAAGAGAGTGAATAGAGCAAGGAATAATGCCTGTGATCTACCTCTAGTCTATGTAAACCACATCATATTCTATAGCCTTTACCTCCTCAGCTTGCCTGCCCCTCATACATCCTGTCCTTGACTTAAGATGACAATCTGGACTGTGATGCTTTGCAATTCTGCACTTGGATTGGAACAGTTCCTATTTCCTATACTTTGAATTTACTTCCTGTTTCATTTTACTTCCTCAGCTGACACCTTCATCTTACTGTGTTTCCAACAATATTCTGTATCCCTACTTACTCCCAATTCCTGACCTGCTTTATTGCTTGATAGCAGCAGAATGGGCCTTGATCTCCTTCCTCTGATAATGACTGGAGTCATTAACAAAATTACAGTCTTAGTTTTTCCACAGATAACAAAGAACATGGCAAGTCTATGAATTACATTTAAAACAGACTTAAAAGATAAATGAAAGCATGTCAGTGGCGCCTGAAAAGGGGGAATAACAAATTCTTTTCTCCAGGAAGTCATCATTCTTAGATAGCTTTTGGGAGGACATTGCTGGAGCTCTCAGAGAGAAAGGGCATACCCGTGCAGCCATCCAGGTGACCTTGGTCAACACAGGCTGTCAGTGGAACTACAGATGTCAAATAAAGCAGGACCACCTCAGATCCAGGGGCCATCAACCTTTTTTTTTTAATTTTTTTTTTTTTTATTTTTTGCTTTTTCGTAGGGGGTGGGGTGGAGAGGTTTTTAGTAGAAGATGAACTATTTAGTCAGAAATGTCTGTCTCATTCCACTTTTTTCGTGTAATTCCATTTTAGAAAAATATTTTTCCAATTCTCCTTAAATATTAGCTCTTCTACATTGTACTGTGTGACATTGATGAGTTATTAAATTTGCCAAGTCCCAGTTTCTTTAAATGTAAAAAGAAAAAAAAAATTGTATCTATGTCACAAGGTTGACACATCGAATGATAAAATTCGATGATTTAGCTCATGGGAAATCACCTGAAGTGCTTGATATAGAGGATGCTTAATATTAAGTTTTTAAACAGCAAGACTAGCAAGGCATTCTAATTTTTTTTTTTTTTTTTAAGATGGAGTTTTGCTCTTTTTGCCCAGGCTGGAGTGCAATGGCGCGATTTCAGCTCACTGCAACCTCCACCTCCCAGGTTCGAGCTATTCTCCTGCCTCAGCCTCCCAAGTAGCTGGGATTACAAGCATGTGCCACCATGTCCAGCTAATTTTTGTATTTTTAGTAGAGATGGAGTTTCACCATCTTGGCCAGGCTGGTGTCGAACTCCTGACCTCGTGATCCACCCTCCTCGGCCTCCCAATGTGCTGGGATTGCAGGCATGACCCATCGCACCCGGCCTAGCAAGGCATTCTAATTAATGTAATTCCAAATCCCAAATAATATGTTCACTTCCACTTTTAAAAAGGATTTTAATTTGTTTTGTTCAGAAATATTTGGTTGCAACTAACAGAAATGTACTTAAACCAGATAGATCAAATGGGGGTCTGATAAAATGGTTTTTTAGATCTGTTCCTTTACCTATACCCCTTCTGAGTCATGAAAATTATTGACTATTTTTGTGGCTCAATAATTCAAAGATCTTAACAATGCACCCAAAGTCAATAAGGTGATTGGCTTTGGAATCTTTGGGTGATGTTAACAGGGAATTAATACTGACAGTGTAAAAGGCCTCATTATCTACAATAAACTATTACAATGGTCACCCCCAGTGAGCCACATACGCAAGTTGTCATACTGTTGTGTAGTTTCTAACACATTGACTCTGGGTGTAGCCAAATAAGTTGCTTTGGCTAGTAGATCTAAGCCAGCCCAATGCTTGTTTAGCATTAATTGATAAGCATGCACTTGATAAGCATTGCACTTTGGGGCTTGCCCTCTTAGAATATTCCCTCATCGGACCAGTTATATACTATAGGAAACCTAGGCTCTCCTTCTGGAGAGAAAAACTGCTTGCAGAAGTCCTGGAAGATAACTCCACCTGGAAAGGGTGGTTATGTGAAGAAGAACTGAGCCAGACTCCCAGCTAAATGCAGCTGGAAGAGTGGCCCAGCCGGCAGGCACCATGTAGTGGAACCCAAATAATACCTAGTGAACACACAATATTATGAGAGACAATAAATGCTGGAGCTGGTTGAAGCCACTAATGTTTGAAGTGTTTCTTTTCACAGTAACAGATAAACTCAAGCTGAAACCTTTTATTTTGATTTGTATTTTTATTTTTATTATACTTTAAGTTCTGGGACACATGTGCAGAACATGCAGATTTGTTACATAGGTATACATGTGCCATGGTGGTTTGCTGCACCTTTCAACCCATCATCTACATGGACACATGGAGGGAAACCTTATCTTTTAGGTAATATGATGGGATATCAGGGTGTGCACCTCTTTGACCCTTTTTCCATCCTCAGGATCTACAGCTTTATTCCTCATCACCATGACAACTTGCATAGGAGGCTGATTTTATAAATAATTGGAATTCAGAAGGCAAAGGAGAAGGGCCAGGGCTAAATTAAAGTAGATGACACAGGTGAGGAAAGGAAGAAAGAATGCCCCAAGGAGATATTTCCTATAAAACTGGAATGCAGGGCACACTGTATCACTCAGCATGCTTTGGGTGGTAACACAAAAAAACATCTGAAAGTGTCATAGACAGGAAAGGGGATTCATTGGCTCATGTAATCAAAACTGTCTGAGGTAGGGAGATAAATGAAGCCTCCTCCTGTGTTTCTTTCTAGTATTTTGGGTTCTGTGCTTCTCCAAGTGTGGCTTCCTCTTCAGGTGTCTTCCTGTAAGGAAAAAATGACTGCCAGCAATATAGTTCTTCCTTGACATGCAGGAGAGGGAGAGATAGTCACTTTCATAATGTCAAACAGAATGCCTTATCTCCCTTGAATTTATCTATTCTTGCATCAGTCACCTCATTGAGGCAAGGGGAAATCTATGCACTCAGTGACATATATCTATTACAGATGCATTGCCAACATAATCTCTAGGCAAAGAGAATGTCATTCTCCTAATTGGATGAAAGTCACTAATTATTAATGTCTAACAAGGGATTACCATATGTACACCTAGAAGTAAAAGTCCTCAGAGCTCTTCATTCTTTCTTCCCTCCTCAAGCAAATAAGCATTAAAGTCTGCGCTTTGTGACTGTGTCTTCCTGGCACTAATTGTTGTATTGGTTAGGAGGCTTTCCGCTGCAAGTAACAGAAATATTTAACTCAAACTGACTTAAAATAGAGAAAGTTTATTGAATAAACTTAATAAATTTATTGACTAAATAAAATAAAGTTTTTGAAACTGAGACATTCAGAGCTGTGATGTTCTTTCCACACAGTTCAATTTGGGCTCTGATTCCATTTACCTTTGATTTTCTCAGCTTTCCTCTTGTCTGCGTAAGATTACTACCTTCACGGTTGAAAAACAACTAACACCAAAAAAAAAACCCAAAATAGTGACAGTACATTGGTCATGAGCATAATCCCAGCTGCAGACTGCCTGAGCTGACAATCCAGCTCAACTATTGATTAGACATGTGATCTTGAGCATTTACTTAACCTCTGTATTTCAGTTCACTCATATGGATTATCTGAATAAGCACAAACTCCATCTCATGAAACTATCGTGAAAATTCAATAACCTAAATCAATAGAATATGCTTAGAAAACCAACATTTGACACACAGTAAGCACTTCATAATTTTAGCTGTTATTGTCATCATCACCTGTTCAGATCCAGAGGGAGAGAGACAGTTCTCACAACCATCAAATACCCATCTTAAACTTGGCTTGCCTCCGGTCATCTCCAAATCAACCACCATGGTAAGGAGAATGGAACCATTCCTAAGAGTTTAGACCACTTAAAGCTCATCCCTTCCAACTACATTCACAACATGGAGGGCTGAAATGGCTCTTGAGAAAACAACTACAATGTCCACTCTATACCCTACATAACGAGAATGAGAGTGCCACTCCACACCAGTTGTAAATGTGGGGGAGATGGGTGATTTAAAGAGAGCTGAAAACAGCTCCTGAAACTGTCACCCTGTGTGCGCTATGTGGTATAGAATATATGCCTAAAACCAAAAATAGAAGATTCCCTGTACATTCTGTTGGGTTTTTGTAGGCACTTAAAAATAAGTCTTTTTCTTTATGGATTATATAACTGTTTCCTCTTCATGACAGTGGGACTGGTGCAATGGTTACATGTCAGAAGAATATTTTGCAGGGTTATTGAACTCTAACTACAGGTGAAAGAAAGCACCAGTTAAACTGAGCAAAGAGCATTTTATGAATATACTTAACTGTTAATTTAAGAGTTCCAAGGAGTTAAATGGACTCAGTGAGAGTGGTGATGGTGTTCAGTATACCCACTGAAGGAATGAGGGACTTAGGACCCTGTAATCTCAATGCCATAGCTGATGGATGAATGAAATTCTTGAGAATGAATATTTCAACCAAAGCGAAGAAGATGCCAGACTGTGAGTTTCTTGTCAGATTCAGTCAGTGACTCACAAGGCTTCTGAGATTAGATGAGAGGAAAGGGGAATAGGAAGTATGCTGTCTATTGAAAGACACAATAGGCAATCTCAGAACCTTAAGGAAACAGAAAAGCTAAAATCAGGACACAATGAATTGGAGCTCCAAAGACAGATGCTGAGTCTTTACTATGGACTGTTAAAAGCAAAGCCTCTGACAAATACTGCATCAATGTTAATAAAGAGATATGGTAGTGCTAATACCATGAATTTGCCAGTGATATCCTTGATGGACAATATCTTTCTCTGATAATAAAGAGAAATAGTGCTGTTTTCATATCTCAGTAGCCAGTGTTGGAAGCCATACTAAAATTTAGGAAATGATTCCTGTGATTTATACTATTACAAACTTAATCCACTTTTTATTGATTTATGAACTTAGAAACACATTTCTCCTCTTTTTAGATTTTTTTAATTTTTAAGGAAACTAAAATAACTATATCTTCTATGACATGCTCTGAAGATTGTTTTTATAACATTTTGAAACTGGACTACGGTGAACACAGCTAAATGGTTATCAAACCCTAATTAAGATTTAAGTCAAACAATTTATATGAGCTTGTCTCCACAATAGCAAGAGAAAGACACATTAAAACTTCCCAACACATCTCCATTCATTAGAAATAAAAAGCTGTATACTGGAAATTATGAATATATTAGTAATAATAAATGTACACTAAATTATGTTTTTACCTCTTTGAAATTCATAGCCAAATTACCCTATCAAAGTCTCCGAGAGGTCTAATAATACTTTAGTAAATCCAGCTGATCCTGAACTTAAACGATCACAAGAAATCCCCTTTTGCAGAACATGAATTAGCATCTTCTAGGTCTAAAATTCCATGGACCAAAAAAAAGTGTTTTAGTTCATTCTTATCAAGATGTGAATGAAGACAGCGAAGACATTTAAAATAACAACATAAAATTGCTGCTTAAAGCATTAAAATGTTTCAGGAGATTATGTATAAAAGTTAAAATTTGAGGGATTTCTAGAAAAAGTCGACATTAATTTTAGGGATGTTCTAGAGAAAGTCTAGACATTAATAAATTGTGTATATTTTTATTCGCTGATATTTTGAAATTATAAGCATGTGTGTATTTATTTTTACTCTTTCCTTAGAAGATTTAAGACATACTTATCCTCCCTACAGTACGTGCTCCATATAGAAGCAGGATGATACATACGAGTAACAAAATCAAACTACCATTCTCAAAATGTAGAATTAGTGTACATGTTTGTATCTTGCTGATGAATTCTGATATTTCCAACTTTTTAGATCTACTATCCCATCTGCAATGTCCCTTTTGCTAGGATATAGAGATATACATTCTCCAGACAAACATTCTCTATTACTGTGCAGTTTGTTAATTCCTGACAGACTTAGAAAATATGTTTTAGATCATTTGCCTTTTATCCAGGTCTCACAACAATACATTGATCTTCTTTTCTATGGGAAATGTGTAATTACATTTCCTGGGATCCTGCTGCCTGTGAGTATAAAAATTTTAAAACAGAAATTCTAGTAAGCTAATGGAATATTCTTTTGTGTGTAACACATTTAGTATGTGACTTTATTTTATTGTAGTCTTTTGTGACTTAAGCGAAATTATGTGTAAAAAGAGGAAGATTCCATTTTTCATGTGTTTGGCCACTGACAGTGTTCAGTCCCCACTCCTCCCCTTCCTCCTTGTCCCACAGCTGGGTTGCTCTCCATCTCTTGGTGCTGAAAAAATTTCAAACCATGCAGATCCTAGCTCATGGACTTGAACCTGTGCTCCAGCCTTGCCTCCTAAGCACGGTAAAAGCCTAAGCCAACCCACCTTGCTTCCCTCTTGCCCTTTGGACAGGCTTGTGCCTCTCCTGCTCCTCCTGGAAATTCTCGTCATGTCTGAATAACAAACTTTCTTTCATGCCTCATTGGTGCATGTATGATGTCATTAGTCTCCATATCTGAATGAATTCTAAATTTTAGGCAGAAGGTTGGTCCTACCCTCCACATGACAATCATAAGACAGTATAGAACTCAACAGTTTTAAATACATACATATGTGGATGTCATATTTAATATTTGAGTGTGGTGAGTGTGTGTGTGTACACTTCAGATGGGACATAAATTATCTATTTTACCTCAGTGCTCACTGCCCCCTATAATAGCCAACGTCACAAGCATTGTTTCTTTACACCATCTGTTTGATCCCTACAATAAGCCTCTATTTTGACAGCTGTTACTATAATTGCTAAAAATCACGAATATAATCTGATGAGCTGAGAAATATCTCTCACAGAGAATTAATTGTTTAACTATGCTTAACTCAGTCTTCTCATAACCATATTTTATAACAAGTAACACAAGTTTTGTAGGAAAACGGTGCAGTGTCTGTTAATTTAAAGAAAGCAAATTATCCAAAAGCAGGAAATTACCAAAATTAATTTGGATGAGTGCTGTCACTGACTTTTAGCATATAGTAGGTACATGTTAAATGGAGTTTTTAAAAATAAAATATTTAACAGTGAAATAATTATAAAAAGAAGTCCACTATAATGTTGATATTTTTGTTTTTAAAAAATCACTAACATATGATAAAAGAATGGATGATTAATATTACAATGCATATTTAAGGGATTATGTTTTAAATATTCAAATACGTATGAAATTTTCACCAGAGGTTATTTTTCTTTTTAATTTTTTTTTTTTTTTTTTAGTAAAAATCCAACTTGAGAACTGTCACCAAAGATGTCTAGGAACTTTGAAGAAACATGAAGGTTTGTCCTCATTCTGTCCTAAGTTGAAATGAGATTTAGAAAAGAGTCTAAGTGAACATTTCCCAACCCAATTCCTGTAGCACTCGATGAAATACACAGCTATCCTATTTCTCTCTATTGAAATTACATATACCCTAAAACAGTTTGAGAATTTATCACGCACCAGGCTTACCAAGTACTTTATAGAAACCATATATGCTCTTTTATTCCTTACAAGAGCCCCATGAGAAAGATTCTGTTATATCATTCTTTGTAATACCTTTGAGGACATGAGGAACAAAGAAGTTAAATGACATGAAATTCCCACAACCAGCAAGTAGTAGACCTGGAATTTGAATTATCAGGAAATCTTGCTCTAAAGAATATAGGCTTCATCTTTATATATGTATGTTTATATTATATTTATTATGCATAAAACATCTACATATACTTGCACATATTAAAAACTGGGGTCTTTGTTAATGCCAGGCCAAATCAATGACAAATATTTGATTCTTTCGCACTCTCACTTCTCATAGTGCTGGAAGAACAGATGCCATGCAAAAGAGGGACTATTTTTATCTTTACAGATTTGTACTATTTTGGAATTCCAGTGTCACCAGGTGAATCCCAAAACGGTTTAGCCTGGGAGGACACGTGGGTTCTTGACTTCTAACAGGAAGAGATTTAAGAGTCGGGGGACAGAGAGAAGTTCAAAGGAAGTTTATTAAGAAAGTAAAGGAACAAAAGGGTGGCCACACCATAGGCAGAGCAGCCTAGTTGGCTACATTTATGGTTATTTCTTGATCATATGCTAAACAAAGGGTGGATTATTCATTAGTTTTTCTGGAAAAAGGCAAGGAATTCCTGGAACTGAGGGATCCTCCCTCTTTCGGACCGTATAGGGTAACTTCCTGACATTGCCATGGCATTTATAAACTGTCCTGGTGCTGGTGAGAGTTTCCTTTAGTATGCTAATGTATTATAATTAGCTTATAATGAGCAGTGAGGACAACTGGAAGTAGCTTTTGTTACCATCCTAGTTGTGGCTGGTGTGGGCTGTCTTCTTTACTGCGTCCCGTTTTGTCATTGGGATCTTTGTGACCTGTACCTTGAGAAACAGCAGAGCCAGTGCCACCAAACTATCTCACCAGTGGCAGTTGGAAAAATCATTCTAGATGTTTACCAGGCCTGCTACAACTAGTTCATGAAGAAAAGCAATTGATATTTTTAATGAGGACCCAATGTCTCTGGGTAATGAGAAGCAAGAAGTAGGAAGGAGCTTAGCCTATACATCACTCAACTCGGAACACAAACCTGAGTACCCAGTGGGTACCGATCCCTATACTTCCCTCACCAGCTGGGTCTGTAGTTCGGCTGCTAAAAAATGAACTAGCCACCTTTAACATATACATTTCTTCTTCCCATTTACCCCAACTACTCAATAAGGAATAGGCACCCTTTGCTGAAATTCATCTGTATGCCTTCTTGTAAGATCCATGATACTCAGAAAAGGAGTGATAAGGACTTATGTTCAAATGGAGAATTGTTCAGAATTGAAATAAGAATGTAAAGTAGCCCAGTTTTAAAGATTTCTGGCCCCATGGATTGCAAGTGCCTCTCTGTGTGTGCATATAAATAAATCCATGGCTACACTTAGCCTTTGTCAGCTTGTAAATTTTAGGAGACAGGAGGCTTTAATACAAATATTTTTTAGATCTTCTAAACGTGATCTTGATGATTTTTGGATTGCATGAGCCAATTTAATTTTCTAACTTGTTTTTTTTATTTTATTATTATTATACTTTAAGTTTTAGGGTACATGTGCACAATGTGCAGGTTAGTTACATATGTATACATGTGCCATGCTGGTGTGCTGTACCCATTAACTCGTCATTTAGCATTAGGTATATCTCCTAATGCTATCCCTCCCCCCTCCCCCCACCCCACAACAGTCCCCAGAGTGTGATGTTCCCCTTCCTGTGTCCATGTGTTCTCATTGTTCAATTCCCACCTATGAGTGAGAACATGCGGTGTTTGGTTTTTTTGTCCTTGCAATAGTTTACTGAGAATGATGATTTCCAATTTCATCCATGTCCCTACAAAGGACATGAACTCATCATTTTTTATGGCTGCATAGTATTCCATGGTGTATATGTGCCACATTTTCTTAATCCAGTCTATCATTGTTGGACATTTGGGTTGGTTCCAAGTCTTTGCTATTGTGAATAGTGCCGCAATAAACATACGTGTGCATGTGTCTTTATAGCACCATGATTTATAGTCCTTTGGGTATATACCCAGTAATGGGATTGCTGGGTCAAATGGTATTTCTAGTTCTAGATCCCTGAGGAATCGCCACACTGACTTCCACAATGGTTGAACTAGTTTACAGTCCCACCAACAGTGCAAAAGTGTTCCTATTTCTCCACATCCTCTCCAGCACCTGTTGTTTCCTGACTTTTGAATGATTGCCATTCTAACTGGTGTGAGATGGTATCTCATTGTGGTTTTGATTTGCATTTCTCTGATGGCCAGTGATGATGAGCATTTTTTCATGTGTCTTTTGGCTGCATAAATATCTTCTTTTGAGAAGTGTCTGTTCATATCCTTTGCCCACTTTTTGATGGGGTTGTTTGTTTTTTTCTTGTAAATTTGTTTGAGTTCATTGTAGATTCTGGATATTAGCCCTTTGTCAGATGAGTAGGTTGTGAAAATTTTCTCCCATTTTGTAGGTTGCCTGTTCACTCTGATGGTAGTTTCTTTTGCTGTGCAGAAGCTCTTGAGTTTAATTAGATCCCATTTGTCAATTTTGGCTTTTGTTGCCATTGCTTTTGGTGTTTTAGACATGAAGTCCTTGCCCATGCCTATGTCCTGAATGGTAATGCCTAGGAAGAATCAATATCGTGAAAATGGCCATACTGCCCAAGGTAATTTATAGATTCAATGCCATCCCCATCAAGCTACCAATGACTTTCTTCATAGAATTGGAAAAAACTACTTTAATGTTCATATGGAACCAAAAAAGAGCCCACATCACCAAGTCAATCCTAAGCCAAAAGAACAAAGCTGGAGGCGTCAGGCTACCTGACTTCAAACTATATTACAAGGCTACAGTAACCAAGACAGCATGGTACTGGTACCAAAACAGAGATATAGATCAATGGAACAGAACAGAGCCCTCAGAAATAACGCCGCATATCTACAACTATCTCATCTTTGACAAACCTGAGAAAAAACAAGCAATGGGGAAAGGATTCCCTATTTAATAAATGGTGCTGGGAAAACTGACTAGTCATATGTAGAAAGCTGAAACTGGATCCCTTCCTTACACCTTATAGAAAAATTAATTCAAGATGGATTAAAGACTTAAATGTTAGACCTAAAACCATAAAAACCCTAGAAGAAAACTTAATTTTCTAACTTGTTAAAAAACGGTTTGTAGCTAGAATACAAAAGCATAAATACTCATGCTTTCCTATTTCACTCACCTTTCTGGTTTGATAGAATACTGATACAAATAAAAATATGAATAGGAATGAATGTGATGGATTAAATACATTTAACACTATGCTGTTACTATGCTTCCTTGGCCTTTGGACTGTGTGTCTGCATTTCCACACGATCAACACCAGATGATGCACTGTTACATTAACTTTGCTGGGAAAATACCCTGCATTCTTCATATCATGGAAGTGTTATTTTACGGAATTAACAAACAACACATACAGAGCTTATGTATACACTGAATGATGAAAAAATTAAGTCTCCACTCAGCTATGAGATGAAAAATTTACCTCTTTTGGAAGTAAAAACAGGAATGCATAAAAATATGTAGTTAAATTTTAGTTTATAATTAAAACATGGTTTTCTCTAATATTAACTTATAGACTTAAAAAAATCTCATTTGTATATATTAAGCACTAATAATAACTAACAGAATATTTTCCATACTCATAATAAGTTTCATAGTCTGCTTTTTCCCGTTAGTTTTAATTTTCGACATAACACTTTTTATTTAATAGATTTCACATAGATTATCTCTCATAGCCTGAATACCTTTTGATTAATTAAGGATGTAGGAAGTCAGAAATTGATTGTAATTCAGTTTTTCATTCTTTCCTCTACATTTCTTCTACATTGATACTAAGATGTTTAATTTAAATGTAATACAGAAAATATTTTTAAAGAATATTTAATGCAGGCATGTTTTAGAAGTCTCAAATTGTTATTCTCTTTGATTCATAAAAACATCTGTCATAATTAAGAAGCAAAATAAAAACAAAACAAAATAAATCTTAGACAATACTGTGTGTAAAGGAATATTAATCACAATATGATTTATAATTAGCTAATGCCTATAAAGTCTTAAATGTTCACTAATATGAAATGAGGTGTTATACTTTCTTCCACGGCACAGAAATCTATACAGTCTTGCAAATTGTACTTTCAAAAAATATCTAAGACTATTACAGACAATTTTAAAACGATCACAATACAATATAATTGTGCTTCAAATAAAGCAATATACCAACTTACATACAGTAAAATGTCAATTTTATGAAACAGATGTAAAGGTGTTTATTTGAATGAGGCATCATTTAATGGCCTCAGTTACTCACTGAAGTTTTGTTTACTAGTTTCTAGAGATTAAGGCACATGAAAATATAAGATCACATTTTACAGATAAAATTACACATACCCCTCAAAAAAAGACGAGAGGGTATAGAGAAGTTGTTACACTGAAACAAAGTCAAATTTAGTTGTCTGAAATCCTGCAAAATACCTTGCAAAATATAATTGTTACTTAGAGAATGGAGTTTTCATGAAGCATTTGCTTTTCTAGCTTAAGGCTAGGATTTGAAGAGTCAAAACACAGGAAAGTGTCCTACACCAACGGGCCAAATCTAGCACAGATAAACACAGGCGCTTCCTGTGGTTGAAGATTCAAAGAGTGTGAAACCAAGTTGGAGCAATTGGATTGTAAGAAAACTAAAAGTTGATAGCAGAAACCAATATAAGTAATTGTGTCTAATGCAGGCAAAATGATTGTATTTATTTCATTTTTTGATGTGAGATTGATTAAAAATTGCATGTGTATTGTAATAATATTGTTGAGTATTAGTTGATGTGCTATGATTTCTCGACCTCACTCAGTTCCTAGGTTTTCTGTATACTGTGTTACTAACCTTCTCCAAATTGTACCCCTAGACAACAGAAATGTGTTGCCCAAGGGAGAAATCTTTAGTGTGGAAGCAGAGGAGAAAAGTGACACATTCTTCATTTTTAAATCTGAAAGCTGCTGTCCCGGAATAAGGCAGAAGCAGAAAGCAAAACAGATGTTGATTTGGGTCTTTGAGAAGGAGTCCTGTGTCCCTGGTTCTTGGGAAGAGTCCATTTTAGGGAAATGGATTTGTGCTCATTTGTCTGATAGAAAGCAGTAGATTAAAAATCATGTTGTAGTGTCCAGGCATAAGGGACTTGGAGCAGCCTCTCATTATCCGAGATTTCCATGGAAGAGCATATGTTTTCTGGGCCTTTAAAGGATCCACCAACTGGCCTGGCAGGTAAAAATGTGTTTTAAGGTTAAGTCAGAGACAGGACATGTGGACACATGGGCATATGGACAGTTCATTGAATTCTCACATAGGGGTATAATCAGACAAGAGAGTGTACATATCAGTGGACGCTATTTTAAATTGGTAGTATTGACCAGGGACCAAATGGACACCACTTGCCATCTCAAGGCTGTAGGCCCATAAATCTACGTAAATCCTTGCAACTAGTGGTCACTTCAGGGTGAAAGAGGAAGAGCAGAAAACCGTTAATTGATTAAACTTAATTTGAATTTATTCAGTCTACCTGGAAATGATTGTAACTGTCTCCCTCAGGAAGAATGAAGATCAAAATAAAGATTATGCAAAATTATTGAAATAATTACATTTTCCATATTTATGTATTCACCCCTTATATTCATTCGACAACAAAAAGTTATTGAGTCCTTACTATGTCTTATGAGTTATGAGTATTGATAATACCAAGACAAATAAGACACAGTTTTGTTCCTATTATATTGGAGCAGACAGATAATTAAATGGATAGACATAAATATACAAAAAATGTACAGAAGAGTTATGGGCCGGGCACAGTGGCTCCTGCCTGTAATCCCAGCACTTTGGGAGGCCAAGGCGGGTGGATCACGAGGTCAGGAGATCGAGACCATGCTGGCTAACACGGTGAAACCCCATCTCTACTAAAAAATACAAAATATTAGCCGGGTGTGGTAGTGCCTGTAGTCCCAGCTACTTGTGAGGCTGAGACAGGAGAATGGTGTGAACCTGGGAGGCGGAACTTGCAGTGAGCCGAGATCTCGCCACTGTACTCCAGCCTGGGCGACAGAGCGAGACTCCAAAAAAAAAAAAAAAAGAGTTATGTAACCCCAGATATGGCTTAAAAAAGATCTTAAACAGTTGATAAATCAAATTAAATGGAGACACAATAGCTGCCTACATGGAGAGGAGATGAATGAATGGAGCAGAGTAAGAACATGAGCAGAGACAGAGCTTAGGAATGGCCTGTGTGTTCGGCAAAGTGAAATGCAATTGCTGATCGCAGGAGCGGAAAAATCATTGCAAAAGATGAAGCTGGATATGGGTGAGAGCCAGAGGATGGAAAGCTTCATGGGACTTGTTAAAAGTTTGGAGTGAATAAACATGTCATGAAATAACAAAGCAACGCACAGGAAATAGAAGAAATATGCCACTCGTTTAGAAGATAACACTGGTAGATCCTGTCAATTAAATGGGTTTGAGGAGTTAGGAGAAGAAAGGAGATTTGATGGGAAAGACAATGAACTGAGGATTGAATATAGGTTGAGTTTTAGATGCTTATGTGCTTCCCAACTGAAATATCCAGTAAGCAGTTAGGAAAGAATATAAAGGTTGGAGGGGGGAACTATGCTGAATATTTTATTTGTAAATTCTCAACATGTCAGTAGAGTTAAATCCATGAAAGTGTATAAGGCCATTTAGACGGAGGGTTTAAAGTGATAGAAACAGAGGCCTGAGTATGGAGCTCTGGGGAGGCTGATGTGCAGAGGGAGGATTAAAGAAGAGGAAATCACAAAAAAGAGGATTAGAAAGTTGTCAAAAGAGTATAAGTTCAGTGTTCTGCAAGCCAAAATAATTGTTTCAACAAGCAATGAAAACTCAACACTGTTATAAATATAGAGTCCAGTTAGATGTGGGCTGCACAACACCAACTGGGTTGAGAAATTAAATTGTTTAGAAATTAAATCATTGTTACTCTAACAAGAAGATTGGAGGTAGCATTCAGATTCTGGTGAATTGCATTTTGAAATGGGATAAGATGTAAGTTTTTAATACTAGCAATGTACACTACTCTTTTTTTTTAAAGTTTGCATGAAGAGAGGTAGAGTGATTAATAGCTATATAGATCCATATGATTAAGGAAGCATTTTAGAAAACCTTTCCAAATAAATGTCTGGAGACAGACTTTTAAATCAAATTAATAGCGTCTACTTAGCAACAGCATCACCTACATTACTTCCAACTTAAAGAAAAAAATGTTTGTGGCATACCTGGGGAGCTCACCAGATCCCTGAAATGTAGATATTATTCACATTTGATGGATCAGAAAACTGAAGCTCCCATGATTTGGGCAATTTAAACAAGATCTGAAGGTCAGTTAAGCAGCAGAGGTGAAACATAAACCCATTTCTGCCTATATTAGTTGTAAGTTCTTGTTCTCATGCACATGTTATCATATATGACAATGTTTCTTAAATTTAAGACAGCATTACCACTTCAAAATATCTATAAAACCCAGTGTAAAAATCACTGTGTTAAAAAGTTACACCCTTAAAGTTATCATTTTTTACCAATACTTTACTCAGTAAAAATTCAGCTGATGACACTGGAATTATGTTACAGTGCTTGGTGTTAATACAGTTGTCAAAATGGTCAAATTCATGCATACATATTTTTCAGTTGAAATGCAAATGAAGCCGGGAGCAGTGGCTCACGCCTGTAATCCCAGCACTTTCAAAGGCTGAGGTGTGCGGATCACCTGAGGCCAGGAGTTCGAGACCAGCCTGGCGAACATGGTGAAACACCATCTCTACTAAAAATACAAAAATTAGCTGGGCGTGGTCGTGGGCGCCTATAGTCCCAGCTACTTGGGAGGCTGAGGCAGGACAATTTCTTGAACCCGGGAGGCAGAGGTTACAGTGAGCCGAGGTCACGCCACTGCATTCCAACCTGGGTGACAGAGTAAGACCCTGTCTTGAAAAAAAAAAAATACAAATGAAAACACCATAAAATATCTTTTAGATAAAAACTGACCCCATGAGACTATATTTATGGGTACTCAGTTTGACTAGTATTCATAAAATAAGTTAAAATAAGAAATGAACATTGTGATCACATAATCCAGGCACATAATTTTTAGGAGGAAACGAGCTCTGAAGTTTCATAGCATTAATATATAATATAAAGCTATATCCTACGTTGCAAAGGTAGGATCCAGATTGTGACCTTTCAATCTCTCTTTTATTTTTATTTATTTATTTTTTTTGAGACTAAGTTTTTCTCTTGTTTTCCAGGCTGGAGTGCAATGGCACGTTCTTGGCTCACTGCAAACTCCACCTCCTGGGTTCAAGTAATTCTCCTGCCTCAGCCTCCTGAGTAGCTGGGATTACAGACATGTGCCACAACGCCCAGCTAATTTTGTATTTTTAGTAGAGACAGGGTTTCTCCATGTTGGTCAGGCTGGTCTTTAAATCCGGACCTCAGGTGATCCGCCTGCCTTGGCCTCCCAAAGTGCTGGGATTACAGGCTTGAGCCACCGCGCCCGGCTTCAATCTCTTATATTTGACCTGTCATTTATAGGTCTCTGGTTTCTTCCTTTTTCCTTCTTTCTTTTCTTTCTTTCCTTTCTTTCTTTCTTTCTTTCTTTCTTTCTTTCTTTCTTTCTTCTTTCTTTCTTCTTTCTTTCTTTCTTTCTTTTCTTTCTTTCTTTCTTTCTTCTTTCTTTCTTCTTTCTTTCTTTTCTTTCTTTCTTTCCTTTCTTTCTTTCTTTCTTTCTTTCTTCTTTCCTTTCTTTCTTTCTTTCTTTCTTTCTTTCTTTCTTTCTTTCTTTCTTTCTTTCTTTCTTTCTTTCTTTCTTTCTCTCTTTCTTTCTTTCTCTCTCTTTCTCTTTCTCGCCCACACCAGCCCAAGCAACCACCCCCAAACACATTTTACTAGAAAAGCTAGAAAGTCAAAGAAGTCATAGACCTTTCCATGATAAATCTTAGAAACCTATAATAATGTGATTCTTTAGTCCTAAAATTCTCTCTGCATTTCTATCGTATACAAAAAAAGTACCTAACTTATGAACAGTCATTTTGGGAGGGTGTGTGTTTCTAAATTTGTAGTTTTATTAACCTGATTTAGGGTTTTGTCCCGTTGCCATTTACCACCCACTATATTCTATTGGTTTAACTCAGTGCATTCTTAACACTTCATGATATATTAGTAATTTTGTATATTTAGAAATGTGGCCATTTAAATCCTTTTTTTTTTCACATTCTGACTTCCTTAGTAATATGCATGCAAAGTAAAGTAAAATTTCCTGAGCAAAGGACATCAGAATCAGTTTCATGAAGATGAACCTGTGGCCAGAAAATGAAGACCTTTCCTGAATTCAGGTGGGAAAGAAGCTGCTGGAGGCTCAGGGTTAAGAATGTACAGAAATACCATTTGACCCAGAAATCTCATTGCTGGGTATATACCCAAAGGAATATACATCATTCTATTATAAAGACACATGCACCTGTATGTTCATTACCTCACTATTCACAATAGCAAAGACATGGAATCAATCTAAATGTCCATTGGTGATAGACTAGATAAAGAAAATGTGCTACATGTATACCACGGAATACTATGAAGCCATTAAAAAGAAGGAGATCGTGTCCTTTGCAGGAAGATGGGTGGAGCTGGAGGCCATTATCCTTAGCAAATTAATGCGGGAAGAGAAAACCAAATACCAAATGTTCTCACTTAAAAGTAGGAGCTTAATTATGAGAACACATGGACACGTAGAGGGCAATAACATACACTGGGGCCTATCTGAGGGTGGAGGGTAAGAGGAGGAAGAGGATCAGGAAAAATAACTAATAAGTACTAGGCTTAATATCTGGGTGATGAAATAATCGTCCAACAAATCCCCATGACACAAGTTTACCTATATAACAAACCTGCATATGTAACCATGAATTTAATAGCTAAAAAAAAAAAAGTTGTAATCCCAGCACTTTGGGAGGCCGAGACGGGCGGATCACGAGGTCAGGAAATCGAGACCATCCTGGCTAACACGGTGAAACCCCGTCTCTACTAAAAATGCAAAAAATTAGCCGGGCGTGGTGGCGGGCGCCTGTAGTCCCAGCTACTCGGGAGGCTGAGGCAGGAGAATGGCGTGAACCCGGGAGGCGGAGCTTGCAGTGAGCCGAGATCGCGCCACTGCACTCCAGCCTGGGCGACAGAGCGAGACTCCGTCTCAAAAAAAAAAAAAAAAAAAAAAAAGTACACCAAGGTTCTACCCCAAATAGGAGGACAGAAATCCCTGGGCAGTGTATCATGCAGGGATTCAGACAATGGAGAGGGCCAGAGATCAATTTTCATTGACTAAGAAACCAGAAGAGCTATTTCGAAGCTGAGCAAAATGAACCATTAATTCATTGCTTAATTTAGTGAAATGCTTGATTTGATTGATAGATTTGTTTGATTAATGAATTCATTCCACAAAATTGTACATACTCTTAAATTATGCCAAGCAATGTGCTAGGCACTAGAGATATGAAGACTAGTATGAAATAGCCTTTTTATAGCAGTGAAATAAGAGTTAAAACAACTGTATGTTACATTAAGCAAAAACAAAACAACTCACCAAAAATGACAATAAAAATGCAAATGGGTATCCATGTTATGATTTTCATCATAACAGTTATGTATGGTATAGACACAGTGTCAGAGAAAAAAGATGCAGGTCTTTTACTTATTGAAGTCATACATTTTGGTAACATGAGACATTAGTTTGTTTAGTGTGCTTTCATTTCCAGATTATTGTTATTGACTTAGTCAAGAGTGAGCTACTCATGAAACTTTCTGTTTTTTGTTTTTCCAGAGAACCAACTTTGCACCCACAAGAGAGAAAAAGGCAAATAAATAATATTATATTTTGGAAGAGTCTTACAAAATGATTCATAATTAATTTGCAGTATACTATTCTAAAATTCTTTTGTAAGAGATTAAAGAAATATGTACACATTAGAAAACTATAATTAGTACTCCTAATGGAAATCAATTTTCATTTACAAAATAGCTTTAAAAATTTACAAATACAATGTTAATTCACTCCTGCTTGCCCAACAAGGGGAGTTCTTGATGGAGTGAAAAAGAGCCTAAATCTTGAGCACTTACTGGGTACAGGGCACTGTCATGTGTGTTTCACGTGTATTGCCGAATGTGATACTTACAAAAACCATATCAGGTGGGTGTGGTAATTATCATGATGCCCATTTTGCAAATGAAGAAGCTGAGCCACTGAAATGTTCAACAAATGTGCCTCCAGGATACACAGGTTGATTTTCCGTTTCAGGATTTGGACTCATATACTGGCCCCAATGTCTGCTATGTTCTCTTTTGGTAAACATGCAGGAAATGGAATGAAATATGTTGTCTTTAGTATAACAGAATCTTTAATTTGTAGCTCTATTTGAACTTTCTTAGCTGAAGTGTCCTCAACAAAGTCATATATGTAGTCACTAATCACTATGAAAATGACAATATAAGAAGTAAAATTATATGTATACCATTCAAAGAGATCTGAAAATTGAATTAACTGAGCATTTTTGTAGCATGAATCTTTGATTAGAAAATATTGGAGCCCATTTGCAACATTTTAGGTTGCTACATATAATGTTTTATATGAAATAATATAATCAACTTATTTATAGAAGTGTAGATGATTTTAGTTCTTTTCCTATCATTATTCAGACAGAGTTTGATAGCTTAGCAGACTCGTGTTGTATGTGTATATGTTAGGGAGGACAGGTTTGCAATTGAAGCTGATTGTTTGCCCAAACACCATCTGGCCTACCCATTTATAATATGTCAAATGAGACTGCCCAAGGTATGAGAAAAATCTTAATTTCACATTTATTCAGGTCATATTGGCCACAGCTCAAACTGCACTATTATATTGTTTGCATTTTCATCACCACCCGGTTTTTTTTTTAATTTTTTTCTGAATTCTCTTGAATGCTTTACTGATTTTCACTACCTTCCTTTTAATTATTTCAGAAACCTACTATTAAAGATTTTCACTCACTGTTGATCATAACGTTAATCATCTTGTTACAATATAGACTATTATAAGCTTTAGTAAAATAACTTAAATATTTTAAAACCCAAATATCTTTGGATGGACTTTGTGTATATTAAATTCTTGTCTATTATAGCAAAGTTTCAATATGCATAAACATATACATATAAGTAAATATTTTATAATGTATCACTGGCTCTTGTAAAGATAGTTATTCATGCTCAATATCAACATTTTGAAAAATGTAGCTATTAATAAATATTTATGCACAAACTTAGATTTTTAACTGAAAGTTAATGGCTAGGATTTTTAAGTAACTGTCCAAATAATTAAATAGAAGGAATAAAATAAACATTTCACTTTGCATTAGACACTTCTGCTAGAACATGTTTTATAAGAATTAAATGTTGAGGAATTTTAAAAACTACATTAGATTTTAAATCACCTTAATAGTCCTACACTGATTTCTACTGTTTTAGTTGGAAGAATGATCAGAAATAGTATCCAGGGGAAATGTATTTTGTAAAAATACTGTAGTTTAATAATATGATAAGAAGGCAACTTCTGAGTATATCCTCTGATTAATTCAATGCCAAAATATATGGGGAAGATAGTTTTCAATGTAAATACTGATTCCTGTTTAGAAAATAAAAACAGCATATTATTAATTTAGATTAACATAATTAATATAACACTTATTTCCCAAAATGTTATATTTCTTTGGGTAGCCCCTTAATTATTAGTCAAACAAGAAACCTCCAACAGAAGTATTTCAGAAAATATCATGGCATTTAAAAATATGAATGTTCATAATTTCCTTAATAGTTTACATTTTTAACCCCTTTAAAATGCTAATTTCATGATCTTTATTGCTGATTTATGAAAATATCACTATTCATTAGTAAAATATGTATTTTTAAATTAAAATTTGAATCTGAAAGAGCAAGGAAGACTTAATTGGAAGATGCATAGAATTTGTGAGGTCTTTTCAGAATATCTTACTGTATGTATGTTACAGAACATAAGCACTGAGTCAAAGCTCAGCGGAGGAAGTTCACGTTAATAGTGTGCTCTAGGCCGGGCGCAGTGGCTCACACCTGTAATCCCAGCACTTTGGGAGGCTGAGGCAGGAGGACAACCTGAGGTGAAGAGTTCGAGACCAGGCTGGCCAACATGGTGAAACCCTGTCTCTACTAAAAATACAAAAAAATTAGCCGGGCACGGTGGTGGGTGCCTGTAATCCCAGCTGCTAGGGAGGCTGAGGCACGAGAATTGCTTGAACCTGGGAGGCAGAGGTTGCAGTGAGCCGAGATCACGCCAGTACACTCCAGCCTGGACAACAGAGTGAGACTGTGTCTCAAAAAAAAACAAAAACAAAAGCAAAACAAAAAACAACAACAGTGTGTTCTCCAGGCTGAGGGCCTTCAGTGCTGCAGCTTATTACTTTAATGGTGAGTAGAAAGTAAGGTATGGGGTCAGGCACGGTGGCTTACTCCTGTAATCCCAGAACTTTGGGAGGCTGAGGCGGGTGGATCACCTGAGATCAGGAGTTCGAGACCAGCCTGACCAACGTGGTGAAACCCTGTCTCTACTAAAAACACAAAACCAAACACCTCATGTTCTCACTCATAAGTGGGAGATGAACAATGACAACACATGGACACAGGGAGGGGAACATCACACACCAAGGCCTGTTGAGGGGTGGGAGGCTAGGGGAGGGATAGCATTAGGAGAAATACCTAATGTAGATGATGGGTTGATGAGTGCAGCAAATCACAATGGCAAGTGTATATGTATGTAACAAACCTGCACATTCTGCACATGTATTCTGAAACTTAAAGTATAATAATAATAAATGAATAAAAAATAAATATACGAAGCAAAAGAAAAAAATACAAAAATTAGCTGGGCATGGTGGTGCATACCTGTAGTCCCAGGTATTGGGAGGGTGAGGCAGGAGAATCTCTTGAACCCAGAAGGCAGAGGTTGCAGTGAGCCAAGATCACGCCACTGCACTCCAGCCTGGGCAACAAGAGCAAAACTCCATCTCAAAAAAAAAAAAAAAAGAAAAAAGAAAAAGAAAAAGAAAAAAAGACAGCCAGGTATGGGAGGAAGGCAAATTATTTACATTTGTGGTGCATAAAATATACCAGAACAGGACCATACCCTGGATTCATCTCCTGTATGAAGTGTTAAAACTACATAATTCATAAAGTAGTCTAAACTGTGTATTTATATGACAAGTATTGCATATTTCAGACAACCTAAGCAACATCAGTTTAACACATAGTATTTCTCAGTTAATCATTTTGAGTATATGGAAACTGCTGATTATATTACTACTATATATACAAAAACTATGCATGCTTTGAAGTCCTAAAATGAAGCAATCAATTTTTTTCTAAATTAATTCAAGAAGAGTAGTGAAATGAAGTGCATAATTTATTTCAGTCCTTAAAAGAAAATCATTTAATTGCTCATTTTGTTTTTAAGCACTTTTCCCCATAACTGCATAGAAATGATTCTTCAAGGCTTGTTAGATAAGTAGTCCTATCCTATTTTAAGGGAACTCTAATAACGTGGTAAAGGTAAGTGATAGCTGATTTTTCTAAATCTTCACATATATGTAAAATCCTAAATATTAGATGTTGAAACTTTTTAAATTGCATCATGAAGATGTTTATGAGGATTTTACAGAGTTATTTATCGAGTTTCCGAATTACATAATCAGATATCCTATTTTTGTTACACTAGAATTAATTTCATTGTCATGTCTCAAGTCATCAATTTACATACAGATAACTATTAGATACTTATGAAAGATCTATTGACTTAAATATCAAAAAAAGAAAAGAAAGAAAAAAGAAAACCTTATCTTTTACTTCTTCCATAAATTTCAGTCATTAGTTTTGAATGAGGTTTTGATATACAAACCTGTGCTCTTATGAAACTGAGCAAAATATAATTTTTAGTATGGTGCACTATGCATAAATGAACTTATTACAGCAAAAATGCAGTTAATTATTTAATTACCTATGTAGTCATTTTCATTTTGCTAGATTTAACTTTGAGGCGTATTTGTCATGTTCAAGTACTTATTTGATTTTTAAATTATATATCTTTTGTAGTAATCATGTATTATTCTTTACCTGTGCAACTAACTGTTCTTTTGAAAAGCAGCAAAAATATAAACTGCTTATAATAATAATGAACCTGATGTGGTTAAAAATGAAGCTTTCATGAATGCTAATCAAAAATAAAAAGAATGAATCCACAATGAAAACCTAATTCTCTTTTGTTGATTTTGAAGATGTGTTTTGAACAAATTGCTTTTTCAATGGAATTCAAGTTTCCTTTTTTTCTTCAACCTATGTTTATGACAGTTCGGTCTGCTATCACTGACATGATTGTGAGGTTTGAAATAGTGTTAAAATTTCACTGCAGGATCAATTTTTACAGGGATTGCATGCTATGAGGTGGACATTTTCTTAAATATGCTTAATGTTGGTGTTCTTTGAGCAGTAGAATAAAAATTACTAAAATTTATAGAATAATTGGACATAATTATATTTGTAGCTTTTGTTTATTGATTTAAAAGCCTTTTTCTTAAAATCTGCTTATAGAATATACCACTCTCACTTGACTTGCTTATAGAGAATATTTTTAAATGGAAATTTTTAAAATTTAATCTGGAATTTCAGCTTACTTTCTTCCTTCACACAATAAGGCTAGAGTTTAGTGACAGTATAATAGTAAAAAAATCAGAGGAAAATTAATGTGTAGCAATTGAGAAAATATTGCAGTATGGTATATGATAACTAGTTTCTCATGTTTGGAGTACCTATAATTTATATGTAATAAGTTTTTACATAATTTTATGTATTTATTGGTAGTGCAAGTTTTGGGAAAACTGATAGATTGAAAATTCCTTGCTAAATCGCCCTCAGCTGCTTTCACTAACTGCTTGAGTTGCTCTTTAGTGGTTCATATCACAACAGCAGAAACTCTTGAGTAGGACCCTTCCATAGAGCCAGGCAAGGTCATTTGTAAGTGTAAGTGCTGGAGGTATCTATGGGTAATGGATGCTTAAAGTGTGTACGAATGAACTTAATGTGATTACACTAATAATGGAAAAAAGCATATTGGTAAACTATTATTTCAGAAAATCAATTTGTACTTCCATAGTTTAAAATCTTTTCATTATTCTTACTACATTCACCATTTTCAATACTACTAAACTTGTATTTTTCTCTAGGAATTTTATCTCAATTTACTCTTGCTGACATTTTAAAACTCATTAATTTTGAGATCAATCACATTTTACTCTTCAAACCTATGTATTTTACATACTTTTAATTTATATATGCTATTTTATATTAAAATTTTAATGCAATTTATGTAATATAAAAAGTAGATTTATACAATTTAAATGTATATCACATTTCCTTATCCTTATAAAATTATAAATGACATCTTACACACTAGGTTAAAAATTTTGTGAAGAACCAAAGAAAGTATACCGGTTAGAAACATTTGGGAAAATATTTTGCATATTTTTTAGGCTAAAACGGAATCATTTAATTATAGATATTTAAAAGTGCAATAAAATATTAGCTTCCATATTTATATAAATTCCAGAAAAAATAGTTCCTGGAATAAAGATTTAATTAAAGTATTTTACAAATTTTGAACTTTGTCATTTAGAATCTCCTTAAGAAAATAATTTGTCTAAAAATAATGAGATCATTTCATATACTTGCTTATTTCACATACAAGTAACATATTTCCTAATAACCATGTTTAAAAAAATAGTTGGCCATGTGTAATTCCAGCACTTTCAGAGGCAAGGTGGGCAGATGGCTTGAGCTCAGTAGTTAAAGACCACCCTGGGCAACATAGTGAGACCCTGTCTCAAAAAAGAAAAAAAAAATTAGCCGTGCATAGTGGTACAGTCCTGGAATTCCAGCTACTTGGGAGGCTGAGGTGAGAGGATTCAACCTAGGAGGTGGAGGAGAAGGTGCAGGTTGCAGTCAGCCAGTCAGCCAGTCAGCCAGTCAGCCAGTCAGCCGTAATCGCACCACTGCACTCCAGCCTGGGTCACAGAGCAAGACCTTGTCTCGAAAAAAAAAAAATAATAATAATTGATGATTACCAATGTATATCTGCTGTAAAATGAAAAGGAAACATACTACTGCCCTCTACTAACAATGGAGGATCCATGCTTTGCTTACAGTAACATGTTAACACCAAGAGTGAGGGAGAGTATTATACTGAAAATTGCTGAGTAAGGAAGTAGAGGTCATAGAAACATTTGACATTAATTGTTACATGTTATGACAGAGATAAAGAAAGGTATATTTATAAAAAGACTACCATTTTTATAAAGATGCTTGCATTATACATTTATTCATCATATCTAAATTGAGTACTCACATAGTATCCAGCTTGTTTTTCTCCCTGAAAATGTATTTTTAGTTATGATCATGTTGCCATTGTTTCAAATCTTGCATGACTCTTCTTTCCTAGCAAGTTAAATGCACAGTCCTTACTCTGCCATACCCAACCTTCCGCACGGTATGACTCCAGCCTCCGTTCTCTGCCAGTTCACTCTCTCGCTCTCAGTCACATCTCTCGTAACTCTTGCAAACCTGATTGCTTACTGTTCTCCAAACATGTATAAGCAGGGTTGGCTTCATTGAGTCAGGCGGTCTTGTGTCTTTATTAGATATGCAACATTGGGAAAACTACTCAACTTCTCTGAATCACATTTATTCATTGATAAAATGTTGGAAGTATTGAATATGTCTAGTGCATTCTCTGACCATGAGATTATACTCCATCTCCATCCCATGTCTTAGTCCTTTTCTTTAACAGACAAATTACTATGAAGTTATCATTAACTAGATTGAATTATCATGTTAAAATTCTACTCATAGGAAGAATACTATTTTAAAAAATAAGTTGTGTGAAAATATATAGATTCACTGAAAGAAAGAAATTCTTCACCTGCTTCTATTTTCTAAAATGGGGCAAGTGATATACATGGAGATTAAAAAAGATTATAAGGAAGCATCTGTCCCTGTACATTTTTCTACAGTTTTTTTTGTATCTTATGTAGGTTTGTGAATTTCACTTAAAATTGCTTAAATTTTAAAAATGCAAAAATATTGTATGAATTTTGTGTTATTCCTTCTAAAATATTTTTATCTTTTTTATCAGATGTTTTTCCTTTTGAAAGCTTCTTCTAATGTAGGTTTTCAAATAATATCTGAATATAATTATAAATTGTATTATTTGATATTATTTAAAATTATGATATCGTATGATTAAGATATTTAAGTGATACTAAGATTATATTTGGAGTACCTATAATTTATATGTAATAATTTGTTAAATAAACTTATAGAATATAGAATATAAGTTTATATATATGATGCTTCTAAAGAATATAGAATATATTGGATATAGAATATAGAGGCATCTAAAGCAAGTTGTATGGATTAATATGTATGAATGAAACCCCAATATGCTCTGTGCAGTAGTTCAGTCTCTCCTGCGTCTCCTGCCTTCCCGCCCCTGACTCCTCATCTCTGCCTCTCATTGTTCTTGTTGTCCAGCAGCAGTACTGAAAACTACAATGTAAGATAAAAAAAGATGGGAGAAGAAGAAAAAGAGGTGATTTTGGATTGTATACATAGATAGAGATAAGCATAGCAGTAATTAAGTCATTTTGCCTTCTGGAGCACTAAAGTTGAAGTACTCACTTTAGTATCTAAACTAAGTAACTACATATATGGCATCTCAGAGCAATGATGGGTGATATATTTGTCCACTGTGATTTGGCTCGTATTTCCTGAGAGCCTTATATGTGAGAACAGATATTAGAATACTCCCAAGAGGCAAATGTCTTGAAGACCCATTTCATTCTCAGAAAGATGGAGGACATTACCATGCAGAGTGTGGGCACCTGCAGCCAGCCTTGGTTCTCTTATTTAAGAAGCTTAAAAATCCATTGTGAAAAAAATACTAATGCTTCAAAAATAGTGAATAAAAAGGGGGACAGGTAAGTAAATGCTGAATGTGTACTGAGGAGTTTTAATTTTAAAACAAATGAAACTTTCTTTTCCTTTTCCTTTTTTTTTTTTTTTTTTTTTTGAGACAGAGTCTTGCTCTGTCGCCCGATCTTGGCTCAATGCAACCCCTGCCTCTCGGGTTCAAGCGATTTTCCTGCCTCAGCCTCCTGGGTGGCTGGGATTACAGGCATGTGTCACCATGCCTGGCTAATTTTTGTATTTTTAGTAGAGATGGAGTTTTGCTATGTTGGCCAGGCTGGTCTTGAACCCCTGGCCTTGAGTGATCTACCCACCTCGGCCTCCCAAAATGTTGGGAGTACAGGCGTGAGCCACTGCACCAGGCCTTGAAACAAATGACACTTTGATATTAATGTAAGAAGGAGGTCTTTGGTGCTGAAATGGACACCACAGTATTTTCTAATACTTGGGGAAAGACGAACAACAAACAAAAGGCAAAAGAATGGCAGCAGTCAGTCCCTTCGTGACTTCTTTGTTTGGTGTCTTCTTCACTTTTACGTTGATATGTTCTATTACCTTAATCTCTACAACTACAGGACTTTGAAGTGTGATGGCAACACCCAGTGTGCTGGTGTCTCTGTCACTTTATAGCATTGTGACTTTTGACTAAGAACTTGAGCTGCCTAAATCTTACCTTTAAAATGAAAACATAAGCACCTCTCTCTTAAGGATGCAATCTCAGAAAATTGATGATGTGAAGTGCTTTGGAGAGTGCTGGATGCCTTGAGCCTCTCAGGAAACTTAGCATTTTGTGTAATTATACAGTTTTTAAAAATCCATTTTTCTACTTCACAAAGGAGAAACATAACTGAGATAACTACTGAAATAAAGATTAAATGATATAAAAATAATTCACTTTAATTTGCATCTCAAGAGAAGTCACTTCTCTATATTTTGGTTGCCCTTAACAGATTCTATGAATTCTTAGTGTTTTTTTTGTTTGTTTGTTTTGCTTTTCTTTGAGACAAGATCTTGCTGTGTTGCCCAGGCTGGAGTGCAGTGGTGCAATCTTGGCTCACTACAACTTCCGCCTCCCAGGCTCAAGTGATCCTCCCAACTCGGCTTTCCAATTAGCCGAGTACCTGGGACCACAGGTGCATGCCACCATGCCTGGCTAATTTTTGTACTCTTTGTAAGGGCAGGGTCTCACCTTACAAAGTTTTCCTGGTTGGTCTCAAACTCTTGGGCTCAAGCATTCACCCACCTCAGCCTCCTAAAGTGCTGGGATTACAGGCATGAGCCACAGCACTTGTCCTCTTTGTGTTTTTGATGTACGCATACAGTCAAATGTTTGCTTTAGAAGGCAATTGAACCATACCATACTATTAATACAGTATCAATTACTTTCCAAAAGTTGTATTATGCATTTGACTTTCTGCAAATTTTACTTTTAATTTTATTTGGGAATACCTATTGTTGTTCTACCATCCTTAAAGTTCACCATAAACCTCCTTTTTACCTGTAAAGAGTTCCATAACCACATATTTTAAAGGTATGATGATCTTTTAAATCTGCCTCTAACAATATTAACCAACACAGTGGTACTCAAACTCTTGCTGGTAGCATCTGCATTGCCTAGAAGCTTGCCGCAAATGGAAATTTTTGAGCCATATATCAGGCCTACTGAGCCAGCATCTCTGGAGATAAGGCCCAAGAATTTGTGTTTTTACAAGCTCTCCAAGAGATTTTCATGCACAGAAAGTTTGAAAAGGACTAATTTAACAAAAGCAACTAATAAAATTTTAGGAATTCATTCTTGTTTAAATGAGCATCGAAACTCCTTTAGGATAGTATGTAATTCATTTCTGCTTACTGAGCAAATGTTCCTGATGTGTAGCCTTCCTAGAATGTAAAACTAGACTTACTGAGCCAATTAATTCATTGTGTCTCAAAGTATGGTTGGAGGATCACATATGTGTCTTAGCCAACTGGAAAGACTGCTAAACGCGTGATCCCTGGGCCAATTCCGACTACTATAGCATAATCTTTGTGGATAAAAACTAGGGCTCATCAGTTTTAACAATGATTTTTAGGAACAGTAAAAAATGGATAATGTTTTACTACTTCTGATAGCTGAGTGATTTAGTTAGCTCCCTTAAATTTATATGGAAGAGTATTTCATCTCTAGGGGGTCATTTTTCAGTGAATATGAATTGATTCATTCACACACCAGGAAACAATAAGAAAATCCAATAGATAATCCATTCACAGAGGGATACATTTTTATTTGTCTCCTCTAATTTTCTTGCATACACACTTCTTATCAGCATAACATGGTGTATCTTCTAGAGTCTAGGAGAACTAGTATGGAGGTCAGTCTTGCCAGTATTAGCTGTCGGTCTTATGAAAAACTAAAATGTCCACTCTGTAGTATTCTCATCTTTAGAATGTGGTTAAAAGAGTAATTGTCAGCCGGGCATGGTGGCTCATGCCTGTAATCCCAGCACTTTGGGAGGCCGAGGCGGGTGGATCACGAGGTCAGGAGTTCAAGACCAGCCTGGCCAAGATGGTGAAACCCTGTCTCTACTAAAAATACAAAAAAATTAGCCGGGCACAGTGGAGGGCGCCTGTAGTCCCAGCTACTCGGGAGGTTGAGGCAGGAGAATTGCTTGAACTAGGAGGGCAGGTGTTGCAGTGAGCCGAGGTCGCACCACTATACTCCAGCCTGGGCGACAGAGGGAGACTCCGTCTCAAAAAAAAAAAGTAATGTCCAATAGGATGATTGGGATGATATATTTAGATTACTATATAAAACATTTAATAAGATATTCTGCCTTCTTCACCTCTGAGTTGTAGACAGTGTAATTAATTAATTTAGATGGTGACTGAAATGTAGGATCAGATTTGTTGACCCAAAATATAGATTATCTTCCAAAAAATTATGTTTTGCACCAAAATTATGCTGAGAACAAAGCACATGAGACTATTTGATGTCAAAATTTTTGTTGCCTAAAATTTTATCTTGTGTATGCTTCAAATTTTCCACAAGAAGTTTAAAACACAGAGATACACAATAACTGCTTCTGAAGCCTAGGCCAATTCTGGCACCACCTATACCAAGGTAGGATTTTTACATTTTCCTCTTTTATAAGGATCTGTACTAAAATACATTGACAGAAAATATGCTGATATATTCTCTTAATGCTGATTGCGTTTATTTCATAGTTTAAGAAACACAACTTCAATGTAGGGATTTCAGAGTGAACACTTACCATATATCTTTCAAAACTAAACTGCTAAACCATTACTGACATGTATGCGTCAAATTGTTTTTCAGATTATTTCATCTTGGTATATAAAAATAGCAAGATTGGACAAAGTGGATACATTTTTAAAGGATAATAAAAGCTGGGAATTAAGTGGGTCAATATCTAATGAGAAATAAGACAATAGCCTAAAACATAGAGAAGAGAGAGACTAGAATAGAAGGAGAGAGAGAAAAAAAACATTTTTTGTTTGCTTATTTGTTTGTTTCTTTGTTTTGAGACAGTTTCGCTCTTGTTGTCCAGGCTGGAGTGCAGTGGCGCCATCTCGGCTCACTGCAACTTCTGCCTCCCAGGTTCAAGCGATTCTCCTGCCTCAGCCTCCCAAGTAGCTGGGATTACAGGACTCCACCACCACGCCCGGCTAATTTTTTGTATTTTTTAGTAGAGACGGGGTTTCCTCATCTTGTCCAGTCTGGTCTCAAACTCCCGACCTCAGGTGATCCACCCTCCTCGGCCTCCCAAAGTGCTGGGATTGCAGACATGAGCCACTGTGCCTGGCCAATAACATGTATTTTAAAAAATAATGGGAAATGGATGGAGATTTTTCTATCCTGGAAAATCAAAGCTCTGAGGAGCCAAACACTAAACTGGGATCCTGCACAGTACAATGTTCTTTAATCATGAGCTATAGTAGACACTACACTACCCATTGGCCCATCTTTCTCATCCCCACTCCCAATCATCTCAATAAGGAGGAGGGATGATTCTCTGGACGGGTTCTGCATTCGCCAAATAATAGCTCTGAATTAGTTTCTGATCTAACAGACACACATTAATACACATTGTGTATCTCTGTGTTTTAAACTTTTTGTGGAAAATTGGAAACATATAAAAGATAAACTTTTAGACTACAAAGTTTTGACATTGAATAGTCTCATAGAATATTACTTAGGTACCCTCTTCTTTTTTACTATCCCAAATCTAGATTCTGAAGGCTGCCTAGGTTATGGCTGTCAGGTTTAATAAGTAAAAATACTAAACACAAATTTAAATTTGAACTTTAGATAAGCAAGTATACCTTCTTAGTATATCACATGCAATATTTGAGACATCTTTATATTAAAATTTGTCACTGTTTATCTAAAATTTGAATTTAACTGGGTATTCTCTATTTTATTTAGCAGGATTAGACTGGAGAGAAGGCTGTTTCCACCATAAAGACATTTACCCAGCCAGCCCTATGAAAACAGGAGCCTATTTCACTACTTGGTTATTGACTGAACAGAGTAGCCAAGAGGTGGGCCTTTCAGCCCTTAGGGCCTGCCAGACAGCATTAAAACTAAGTCTTCTGTGAAGAAGCTCCCTGTGCTTGGGAGTATGCAGCTTTAATGTTTGAAAGAGTGAGGGAGGGAAGAAGGGAGATAACCCTCCCAGAAAACAGAAACGCAGACCGTGCTTTAGAAAAGATCTTTCCATATGTAACAAACCTGCACGTTGTGGACATGTACCCTAAAACTTAAAGTATAATAATAATAATAATAAAAGAAAAGTTCTTTCTCACAATCCTATCAGATGGAATGAGTCACCCACCTCCCTTGTGAGGGAAGGAGTAAGGCCCCCAGGATAATGCTTGTTGGGGCAGCCTTGGCTTACTCCCCTGAGAAAGCACACAGCTGAGCAGAAGCTGCCTCTTTGGAACCAGTGGTGGAATAGTTACTGGTTTTACGAATACAATGGACACAGCAGATTTTGTTTGTTTGTTTGTTTTGAGACAGGGTCTAGTTCCGTCACCCAGGCTGGAGTGCAGTGGTAGGATCTTGGGTCACTCCAGCCTCAATCCCCTGGGCTGAAGCGATCCTCCCACCTCAGCCTCCCAAGTAGATGAGATTATGCCTGGATAATTTTTTAAATTTTTAAAAAATTTTAAAAAATTTTGCCCAGGCTGCTCTTGATCTCCTGGGTTCAAGCGATCCCGTCGCCTCTGCCTCCCAAAATGCAAGGCTTCACAGCAGATGTTTTCAGTAGAAATTGTCTTATATTTGTTTTGTGTTGTTATTGAAATGAATATAATGCTAGATATTTCTTGGTATTTCGGAAGTTTATATCTTATAGGATAGATTTTATGGTAACTTTTTACATCTTGAAAATTATGTTAAAATTATTTTAGTTTAACTTTGTTGATTATCTGCTTGTATGAATTGGCTTTAATGACAAGAAAATACTTTAAAACCCCAGGGTTACCTCCAGCTGGCTTGTCCTTTACCCCTGAAAATTTTGGTTTCCTAATATAGGCAATGACAAAAAGAATATTTAAATTCCACACTCTCCAAAGTTGCAAAGTAAAAATAAATAAAATATTCATAAACGTATCTGAAATGGGTCCAAAATCAAAGATTCAGGTAAATATTAAAATACATGTCCTTTTTTCTCTGTTGTAGATGGACAGAGAGAGAAAAAAAATCACTGAGTAGAGAGAGAAATTATATTGTAAATAAAACATATGGCGAAAGAAAACTTTTCAGGCAAATTAATTTTTAAAAAGCCACATCATACACGATATTAATTAAAAATGTGTATATATATAATTTAAATAAAAATATTTTCCTTTTTGTTATCTTCTTCATCTTCCAAATTTTGGCATTAAAAATATTAGGAAGGCATTTCTATGGCTTTTAAAAAAGCTTTCCAAGCAGCTCTCAATTTATTGTTTCACATAATGCTACTCTTTTCTCTAAGTCTGCCTTGTCAGCTAACGTGTTTTGGGAAGAAAAAAGAAAACAAAACAAAACCAAGACTCTGTTCTTCTCATCTCTTTGATTGAGTTATCCTTTGCTAGGTGAAGTGTTGTGAGCTTTCATACCCTTCCCTGGGCTTCCAGCAGCTCTCCCCACGGAGTGCTGCCACAGCACCACCAGGAGCCCCAGATCCCTGCAAGGAGGAGATCAAACCTCCACAGCAGGGATTCCTCAAGACAGGTCAAGCTCCAGTGCTTGGAAAACTCAGCCTACATCACACAAAAATGTTATCATTTATTTGGAATTCTTTTTCAATGGATTGTCTCCACTTCTAAAACATTTCTAAGTCTAGTTCAAATCCAGCTGCAGATTCCTGGCACTTGCTTCCTTCCCATTCTTTTTCATATATCTTCTTTTATGTTGCATATACTTACTTCAGATTAAGTATATAAGTTAAACTTTCAGTCTATTCTGCCATTAGAAGAGTTTATTTCCATACACAATAAAAAAGGATCGTTTGTATTATCCTCAAGATTAGTGTATGTTATGAATGCAATATCTTTGCATTCAAGTGAATTTAAATATTATAGGAAGGGGTAGAGAAGGAAATGCAAGTTATCACTGACTGACTTGCCAAAGTTAAGCAATTTTTAAGCATTTTGGCATGCATGATTGATTGTGTACTTTTAAATTTAATATTGTATGGTAATTATTTTCTCACGTCATTAAAAAGTATTTTTTTCAATGGCCAGATAATAGTTTATCATGCCATGTACTGTATTTAACTTCAAATTGATAGTCTTGAACACATATATTAATTTCAATTCCACAGATACAAAAAATAATTGACATTAAACTTCTTTGAGAATAAAACCTTGTCCAAATTTGATATATCCTTAGGATGTATTCCTAGACATGGTTTATTTCATATCTTATGAACTCTTTATTTGAAGGTATTTGGTATGAGTTGAGAAATTACATTACAGAAAAAAATTTTGAGTGTGTATTTCATTCAATCTTTGCATTGTTTGTAAGTGCCTATATTAAGAACTTTTTTGTTAAAGTTTGACTATGAAATCTGATGAGTGAAAATTTAATCTTTTTCTTATTTTAATTTTAATTTCTTCAGTTAATAGTTAAACTGAACGCTTTCCATGTGTTTATTAGCCACTTCTCAATTTTTATATATTTATTTAGATAAAATTGTGCTTACCAACTCCAGTCTCAATACTCTCTGTTAAGGTCTACGGTGTATTCATCTGTTGAGGTTTTTGTGCTTAGAGTATCAATTTTTGTGAATGGGATATTTATTATAACTAACAATTCTAGGTTTTATTTATTAAAAATTGAACAATCTGCTATCTATAAAATCCGTAATATTTCCTTTGCAATTTTCTTCCAAACAATTGTAAGTTTTACACCAAAATTATTCCAAGAACAAAGCACGTGAGACTATTTTATTGACAAAACTTTGTTGGCTGAAAGTTTATCTTCCGTATACTTCAATTTTTTTTCCCATAGGAGGTTTAAAGAGCACACACACACACACACCACACACACACACACACACACACACACACACACACACACACACACACACACAGTGTTTCTGAAGCCCAGGCCATTTTTGGTACCAACTATATCAAGTTAGAATTTTTACATGTGTCTCTTCTGTACGAATCTATACCAAAATACATGGACAGAAAATACAGTGATACATTCTTTTAAATGAATGCTGATTGCACTTTACAGTTTAAGAAACAAGGCTTCGATGTAGGGATTTCAGAGTGAACACTTACTATATATCTTTGGAAACTAGACTGCTAACCTGTTACTGAAATGTTTGCATCAAATTGTTTATCAGGTTATTTTCTCTCGGTATATAAATATAACAAACTTGGACAAAGTGGATGTATTTTCAAAGGATAATAAAAACTAAGAATGGAGTGGGTCAATATACAAGGAGAAATAAGGCAATAGACTGGAATGTAGAGAAGAGAGAGAGACTGGCACAGAGGGACAGTGGGGATGATAGGTATTTTAAAAAATAATGGGAAATGAAAAGATTTTCTCTATCACAGAAAACCAAGGTTCTGTGGAGACAGACCCTAAACTAGACTCCTGCAGAGTCTAATGCTCGTTCATCACAAGGCATGCTAGACACTGCAAGACCCATTGGCCCATCTTTTTGATCCTCACTCTCAATCATCTAAACAAGGCTGAGAGATGACTCTCTGTACAGCCTCTGCATTGTGTAATAATAACTCTGAAATAGTTTCTGATCTTTTCTCTTAGGGGTTGCATAAAATTTTGCTTCTAGCAAGAGAAATAAACAACCCATAACTAAATCTAGAAACTTAGCAGGCAAAGCTCTGTAGTCAGAATGGCTACTTTAATTTGAGCAATTCTGAACACAATTTGAACCTCTCCACACTATGAAAATAGCATAAAATGAAAGAAATAATAGCTAATACACCAACAAGAAGTACAGTATATATGATGTACTTACAAAAAAATATAGAATTATGGATAATATGACACATTCATTGAGCAAAGAGAACATGGCATACATTTATCTTATATAAAATAATGCTTTATAATATATATTTAATTGAACATGGATTCTTAATACAGAAACAAAAAATATTTTAGATTGATTATCATTGTACAATTCCTTAGAGACAAAAAATGTAAGTAAAATGTCTGTGGATTTTCCAATACAACCTACTCTTCCTATCTAAGTGATAATAATAGCCTTTAAGTAATTTTCTAAGGATTTTTATTTTAAAAAGTTTAATTTACCAATGAAAAAACATAAATCTTTGACATTAAATGAAAGCTCTAACAGATGACGCAGATATTTCTAATAAAAACAACTCAAAAAATGGAGGAACTAAGCTCGTATATTTCATTAGAGATATTGGATATAGCAAATTAGCCTTTATTTTAAAATGAGGTCTCTCAATCTAATTTTAAAAATAAATATAAGCGGACTTTTACTTACAGCAAGGTGGAGGAAATATATTTTTTTTCTCTATATTTCCTTCTAACAAGGAATGAAAACCCTAGACATCATATAAGAAAAAACAATAAGAAGATTTTGAAAGATAGAGAGAAATCAGACCAGCCAGTGGCTTTGGAACCCTAGGAAGAACTCAGTGGTGAGTTTCCTGGATCTTCCTTTAATCTCACATATCTGAGCCTTATTGCTGAAGAATTCAACAACCTGGAGATACCAAGAGCACAGAGAAAACCACACCCCGACAAAAGTCTGCTCTTTCTAGCCAAAGGGTGAGGAACGGGCCTGCCTAGAAAGACATCATACTTCTAGACAACAACCCATCAACTCCAGCAAATGCCACAGAAAAAAACTGTGGCCCCGCTCTCACTCCCACAATACGTATCAATTGGGGGGCACAAAGTTTCTTCCTCTCGAGGCCATAACGATGTGCTCCCCAAACCCTGCTGGGGTGGTTGGTGTGAGAGAGAGCCAGATAGGAAACTTGATGTTCATCTTCTCTCGCTGTAAGAAATCCCCATGCCCCTTCCCCTCACTCCCGGCCATAGTGTCAGTTTATGTGATGTGAGGATCCTAGTGCTGCATCCTCACCACACAAGAACAAGCCCCCCTCCACCACCCTGCCCATTATGATGGAGTCAGCAGAGCCCGGTGGAGAGTCCCATAGACTGGTCACATAGACTGGCCGCGTAGACTGGCCACAGGGGATCTGGGCTTCTCACTCCGCCAGGCAGCAATGAAGTGGCACCCTCCCATTCTGTCAGAGTGGAGTCAGATCATGCCAGCTAAAATGCACGGTTTAAATACAGGCTTCATCACATGATTGGAAATGTCCACTTTTAAATTGAAAATCACTTATCATACCAAGATCCAGGAAGACCTAAAACCAAATGCACCAGGCATGGTAGGTAACACCTGTAACTCTAGCACTTTGGGAGGCCAAGACGGGAGGATCACTTGAGCTCAGGAGTTCAAGACCAGCCTGGGCAACATAGCAAGACCTCATCTGTACTTAAAATTTTTAAAAAGCTAGCCAGGTGTGGCAGCGCATGCCTGTAGTTCCAGCTGCTCTGGAGGCTGAGGCAGGAGAATCACTTGAGTCTGGGAGGTCAAGGCTGCAGTGAGCCATGATTGTGCCACCACACTCCAGCCTGGGTGACAGAGTGAGACTCTGTGTCAAAATAAACAAACATATAAGCTGAATGAAAAGGACAGTCAGCAATTATAAATATGTGATAACAGATATAGAATTACCTACAAACGTTGTGAGGCAGCCATTGTAAAATGTTTCAAGGAGCACTTACAAATAGAAAGTGCCAGCAAAGAGATATAAAGAACAAAGGGGAAATTTGAATATTTAAAAATTAATAATCAATGCGAAAGTTTAGTGTTTGGACTCAACAGCTTAATGGAGGAGATAGAGTAAAAGATCAGGAAACTGGAAGATAGAATAAGAAAAGTTACCCGGTCTGAGCAACAGAGAAAAGATAGCTGGAAAACAATAACAAAAATGACAGAGCATCAGAGATCTAAGGGACTATAACAAAAGATATTAGAAAAAGGCCAGGTGTGATGGCTCAAGCCTGTAATTGCCTGTAATACTAGCAATTTGGGAGGCCCAGGAGGGCAAATCACTAGGTCAGGAGTTTGAGATCAGCCTGGCCAACATGGTGAGACCCCCGTCTCTACTAAAAATACAAAAAAAAAAAAAAAATTAGCTGGGCATAGTGTTGGGCACCTGTAATCCCAGCTACTTGGGAGACTGAGGCAGGAGAATTGCTTGAACCTGGGAGGCAGAGGTTGCAGTGAGCCAAGATCACACCACTGCACTCCAACCCCGGGCGACAGAGTGTAACTCAGTCTCAAAGAAAAAAAAGATATTAGAGAAAAAAAAATCATGCAACCAGAGTCCCTAAAGGAGAGGAGGAAGGGTGCAAAGGTGAAAAAGTTACTTGAAAAATAATGACTTAAAAAATAATGATGTTTGGCCAGATACAGGACACTACAGAATCAAGAAGCTGAGCAAACCTTCAACAAAATAATCCAAAGAAATCCACATCAAACAATTAACTTCTGAAATCTAAAAACAAAGAAAAATCTTGAAAGTAGCCAAAGAAAAAATGACACCTTAGTTACAGGAGAAATTCATAATCACAGTAGGTTTCTGATCTGGAACAATGGAAGCCAAATTAATAGGACACAATATTTTTCAAGTGCTGGAGGAAAGGAACCGTCAACACCAAATCCTATAGCCTTGAAAATGTCATTCAGAAATTAAGGGAAGATCAAGACATTCTCAGATGATATATAATTAAGAATATTTATTACCAGCAGACATACCCTAAAATAATGACTGAAGGAAGTTCTCTAAACAGAAAGGAAAAAATAGAAAAAGGAATCTTGGAACATCAGGAAGGAAGAAATCATATGATTAAAACAAATATGGGTAAATATTATAGGCTTTCCATCTCCTCTTGACTTTAAGAGAGTGGGTTTGATGTTTGAAGCCAGAATTATAACACTGCCTCAAGTGGTTCTATATGAATGCAGATGAAATATTTATGACAAATATATTATAAATGGGGAAGAATAGAGGAGCATAAAAGAAGTAAGTTTTCCCTACTTCATTTGAACTGATGAAATAAGGACACTACTGGAGTGTTATGAGTTATGTATAAATAATGTAATTCTGAGAACCACAGGAAAATCACCCAACACATTGAAACTAAGCAACAATCTTTTAAGTAATCTCACTATCAAAGGGGAAGGATCAAGGAAAATAAATAGAAAATAATGCATATTAAAAGTTATGTGACACAGATAAAGCAGTGTTAAAGGAATTTTTGCACTAAATGCGTAATTAGAAAAGAAAAATAATCTCAAATCAGCTATCATAGTTTGCATCCCAAGAATCTAGAAAAGTAATTTTAAAACATCAGAAAGAAAAAAATGATAAAGTTATGAGACAGTTAAGAGCAGAAACAAATGAAATTGGAAACAGCAAAACAATATAAAAAATCAATGAACAAAAAAGCTAGTTCTTTGAAAGATCAACAAAATTGACATGAATGATGAAAAATAAGAGAAAGACATGAATTACCAGCATGTAGAATGGCACTAAAGATGCTTCACTATATCCTGCAATCATCAAAAGGATGATGAGAGATTACAATGAACAACTCTAGACACATAAATTTGATACCTTACATGAAATGGACCACTTTCTTTAAAAAAAAAAAGAAAAGCTACCACAATTGACTCAACATAAATTGCTAATTGGGATAGTCTTTTAAGTAGTAAAGAAACTGAATTCATAATTAGACATTGTCAAAATGAAATCTCTGAGCCCAGATGGTTTCACCGGAGAAATTATTTAAAGAAGAATTAACATCAATTCTAAAGAATCCAGATTATTGAGGGGGAGGGAACACTTTTTGATAGACTTTAGAAAGCTAGTATTACTCTGGTTTTGATTCATATCAAAACCAGAATAAAATTGTTAAAAATAAAATATAAGGAAATAAAGAGAAAGCAACATATCAATAACCCTCATAAATATGACAGAAAATATTTAAGAAAATATTAGTAAATTGAAATAAAATTCAGCAGTATATCAAAAGGATTATATATTATAACCATGTATCTTCTATTCTAAGGAAACAAGGCAATTCAGTATTCAAAAATCAAATAGTGTAGGCCCCCATATTAACAGAATTAACAAAACTCTTCTAATTTTCCAATTAGAGGAAAAATCACATGGTCATACAATTGATGCAGAAAAGGCATTTTAAATATTCAGAAACCATTTATAATAAAACTCTCAGAAAACTAGAAATAGAGAGGGATATTTCTCAACCTGATAAAGAACATCTACAAAACCTGTGGGTATTTTCATAATGATGACAGAGAGAATGCTTTTTCTCTAAGGTCAGGAACAAGGAAAAAATGCTCTCACCACACTTATCTAACAGTGATTGAAATTCTAATCAGTGCAGTAGGGCAAATAATAATAATAACAACAAACACAAAGCAGAAAGGAAGAAACAAATGTCCCTGCCTACAGATGACTTGGTTGTTCGCATGGAAAATCTCAAGGAATCTACAAAAATATTCCTAAAAACAGTAAGTAAGTTCAGCAAGTTTACAGAATACAAGATGTATATTAAAAAGTTATATTCCTATATATTCACAGTGAATACATGGGAAATGAACCAAAGAATGTGATATCATTTATAATCACTAAAAATGAAATGAAATATTTAGGTATAAATTGAAACTACACACCACTGCTAAAAGAAATCAAATAAGATCCAACTAACAGAGAGTAAACTTAGTTTCTTGAATTGAAAGAGTAAACTTAGTAAGTAGTCAATTCTTTCTAAATTTATACTGGAGGTTTAATGCAATTCTGATCAAAATCTCAGCAAAATGTTTCGTAGGTATAGAAAAGATTGTTATAAAATTTATCTGGAAAGGCATAGGTCCTAGGATAGCTACAGTAATTTTTACAGAGAATAATAAAGTAGGTGGAATCTGAATACCCAGTATCAAAACTTACTTTACATCTGTGTTCATTAAGAATGTTTGGTGTTGGTGGAGAGATAGAAATATTGGCCAATGGACAGAACAGAGAGCCCAGAAATAGACACACACAAATACACTCACCTAATCTCTTAAGAAGGGGCAAAAGCATTTCAACAAATGGTACTGGAGCCATCGAACTCCACAGACCAAAAAACAGTATCTTAATGTAAGGCTTACATCTTATTAAAAAATTAACTCAAGAAAGGCCACACAGAGACATAAATGTAAAACAACTGTAAAACTTTTAGAATAAATATAGGAGAAAATTTCCAGTGTCTAGGGCTAAACGAAGAGTTCCTTGTCGTGGTATCAAAATCATGGTCTCTCAAAGAAAAAATAGTTAATTGGATTTCATCAAAATGTTTACTTTGCAAAAAAAAAAACACCTCTGTAAAGAGGGTAACAGATCAGTTACTGGGCAGCTAAAATATTTGAAATCTACATATAGGTAAAAGGACTAACATCTAGGTCTATTTTTTCAACTCTCAAAACTCAGTAGTAGCTAGTTGCAGTGGCTCATGCCTGTAATCCCAGCACTTTGGGAGGCTGAAGCAGGCAGATCACGTGAGGTCAGGAGTTCAAGACCAGCCTGGCCAACATGGTGAAACCCTGTCTCTACTAAAAATACAAAAACTAGCAGGACATGGTTAATTAATTAATTGATTATTTAAATTAATACTTGGGAGGCAGACGCAGTAGAATCGCTTGAACCCGGGAGGCGAAGGTTGCAGTGAGTTGAGATCGCGCCATTGTACTCCAGCCTGGCCGACAGAGAGAGATTCTGTCTCAAAAAACAGAACTCAACGGTAACAAAAACAAAGAGAGAATAGGCAAAAGATATGAAGAAATTTCACAGAAAATGAAAAACATATGGCAAAAAAACACATGAAAAGATACTCAAAATTATTTGCCATTTGGATAATTAATATTAAAACCGTAATGAGATATCACTGCATATCTTTCATAAAAACTAAAATCAAAGACAGTAAAAACACTAAATCCTGGTGAGGCTGCAAAGGAACTGGATCACTCACACAATGCTGATGGAAAGATAAAACGGTAGATACATTCTGGAAAATAGTTTTGCAGTTTCTTTAAAAAAAGTAAACTTGCATTAAAACCCAAAAATTGACCTCCTAGCCTTTTATTTCAGAGAAATACAGACTTATGTTGACACAAAAACGAGTAAACAAATGTTTATAATAGGTTGATTCATAATATCCACAAACTAAAAACTATCCAGACAGACATCCTTTACCAGATGGAGGGTTAAACACACTGCGGTACCTCTATACGATGGAATACTATTCAGTGATCAAAGGGAAAGAATTATTGATATGTGCAACAACCTGGATAATTCTCCAGAAAATGATGCCTGCTGACAGAAATCAATACCAAAAAGCTACACGATTCCACTGAAGTCACATTATTGAAACGACAAAATTACCAAATGGAAAAGATATTAGTGATTTCCAGGAATTAAGGAGGGGATGAGGTGAAGGAAGTGGGTATGGCTATAAAAGGGTAAAATGAGTGGGTTCAACTGTATTCCCCGCCCACACTAATAAAGCATATGAATATATGCTAATGCCTGAAGCCTATGAATATGACCCTATGTGGAAAAAGGGGTTTTGCAGATGTCATTAAAGATCTCAAGATGACATTATCCTGGATTATCTGGGTGGACCCTAAATCCAGTATAAGTGCCCATGTAATAAGCCGAAGAGATGAGAGAAGGCCATGTGAAGACAGAGGCAGAGATTGAAGTTTTACAACCACAGGTCCAGGAACACCTGAAGCCAGCAAAATAGGCAAGGCAATAGCTGGACTAGGCCAGGAAGGATTCACTTCTAAACCTTGGAAGGGAATGCAGCACTGCTGCTACCTTGATTTTAGGCTTCTGGCCTCCAGAACGGTGAGAGAATAAATATCAGTTGTTTTAAGCTGTCCAGCTTGTGGTCATTGGTTAGGGGTTAGGACAGCTCTAGAAAACGAATATGGGGGATCCTCATGGTGATGAAAATGTTCTGTATCTCTGGTTTAACAATGTCAATGTCCTGGGTATCATATTGTACCAGAGTTTTGAAAGATGTTGTCACTAGGGAAAACTAGGTAAAGCAGGGCGATGTTTTTGTTTTATTTTGCATAACTGCATGCAAATCTATCATTATCCCAAAATAAAATGTTGATAAAAATAAATAAATAAAATTGAATTATAATTTGATCTCTGGGTTACACAATCAGAATGAGTTGATGGCACCTGAAGGGCATCTATTTTATAGTACACCTTCATCCAAATATTTACTTTTAATGATTAACAAACCGACTTAGCATGTTTGCATTAATATCTTAAGTGAGTCTCTGGAATTATTCATCTTTTAGCAAAATACTATGAAAGCCTCTCACACAGGCTAAGCAGAGAATATTAATGACTAACTATGATTTATCGTTTTGTGTTTGCTTCAAGAAACTGGTACATAAATATGTAATTCTTATAAAAAATTTGTGGCAGCTTATAAAATATACATGTAATATAAGGTGAAAAACAAAATAAAATAGGAGAGAAATAAGGATAGGAAAAGTAAAGGAAGGCAAAGTTAAAATTAGAATACAAAACATCAGAGAGTGATCTACACTTCACAAGTTTGGGCTTCTAATTTTTCCAGAGAAGAAATATATAATTCCATAAAGATATTTAAGCAAGTATAAATTAGTCAATATTCTCATGTCAAAAAACTAAAACATAAAAATAAGTATCTCAATTAGAGATGTCAAATTTAGTCAGAGTTTAGAATATTCTATTTAAAATATATCCAGTACGATTTCAGAAATAATTATCTCAGTTCAAGAAGGGAAAACCTGCTAAATATTTAAATGTCAAATATATCAGTGATAGTTTCTGTTCATATTTTTAGTCTTTTGTCCTGGTATAACTGAAAAATTTGCATGACTTAAAATGTCATATTTTATTTCAGCCTTAATATTGGTTAGTTGAAAGGCATAATTATGACCAGAAAATGTACTTTAAAATTACCCAATGAGAAAAGCTATGCTAGTTTTAACTGAAAATGCTTTACTTAAATGCCAAAAATTGAAATAGTCTACTTTATTAAGATATTTAAAATAAAATTATGAAAACGATGTCATATCCTTTGCAAAGTTGGCACCCGAAGTTCGAGTTCTGTCTTTCAAAATGTAAAGTGATTTTTTTCTGTGGAAGTAGAATTGTCACCTGTAATGGTTTTCAGTAAATTACTCTGAAGCATCTTGTCAAGAACATTCATAAACTTAAAAATAAAACAAAGATTTTCATGTCTATCAAGACTAAAATAACAAAAAGTTATTCCCACCATTTAATATCATATAAAGACAAAAATAAATAGATATATAATAAAAAATAAAATATATATATTTAAAGATACATACTTTTTTCAATAGTAAGGATCACATTTGCATGTATATGAAATACAACATAAAAATCAGCATAAAAATCATCCACTATCTCATTTTTACATAAAATGATATCTAACACGAGGACTGCTTGGAAAATAGCATCTTAATCTTTGCTTAACTTCTTAGGTTATTTTGGAACTCTCTTGATCTCAGATTCTTCTTCTATAAAATTGAGACAATCTTTCTCCAGGAGAATAGGTTCAGGTTTTATAAAGTGATAGATATAAAAGTAATATAACAGATATGATTATTAATAATATTATTATTTGAAATGGACAAGCAGTAATGGGAGGATAGAATGATAAGGATGTGTATCATTGCCAAATCCTTGAGGGAGGTGCTGGTATTTGGAAAAAAAAAAAAAAACAACGAATACCTAAACGTGAATAAATTTGAGGAAACTCTATTGAAAGTCTTCCCCACCTGTTCATGAAACAGATGCCCTTTTCTCCTCTGTTATTGCATAAGTAAGGTATATGTCTTAGTCCCTTTCAATTCCAGTCTGGCCATGTGCCTGAGCTCTATCTAGCCAATAGAATGCCAGCAGAAATTATATGTATCACTTCCAGGTCTTCCCTTTTAGAACCCTAACACCCACCCTCTTTCATGCTCATTCTTCACCAACTGATTGCACACACCCGTCAAGGAACTTGGAGCTGTCAGATGGCAGAAGGTTGCTGCCCTGAATGGCAGAATGGAAATAAACGCACACCGGAATTACCCGCAATTAACCACTGCAACTAAATGAGACATCAACTTTACTTATGTTAAGCCACTGAGATTGTAAGTTTTGAATGTAGACCCAATATACTACGCCGGTTAATTTACAAGCCTAGAATAGTACGAAGAACTATCATATATAATAAGTAATGCCAATATCAAAATTATGGTAATGTTTCTTGATACAAAAACATAAACTGGAAAAGGAAACAATTACTACTAACAAAATTCACTATAAGATGTGTCTAATATGTCAAGCATTGACCCTAGACTACGGTCAAATGTCAGTTGGAAGGTTAAGTTGTGTACTCTAAGACAAGCACGTGAAATAATTCCTGTGGATTCCTGTCAGTGCAGCAGTTTCTCAGCTAGTGTTAGTCTAGGAGATTCTGACCAGCAGCACTTCTTGTTCAGCTCCTTTTCCTTAACGTGTAATTTTCAGCAGAATAAAACTGCATTCTCTATATTCTAGCACAAATGAACATTTTGTGACTAACAGTATTCACTGATAGTATAATGTATCGGCCTTATTGCTGTCAATAATTATTATTTGTATTTATATTACAATATTACATTTCAGTTATTTTGGTTCAAGGTTTTAGAGTCATCAACTTCTGTGAACATTTCTAAGAATTTTCCATCCCTTATCTTCCTACCCCCTTCATCAGGAACCCTTAGTCTAAGTAACCCCATATACTTTTGCCTATGTAACCCCTCTCATATCAAAAACTAGAACACAGACATATTGAGATGGACTCAGTCATAAAGGGATATAAATTTGTTTTGTAGATTCATATGTTAATTTTATAATAATAGATTACTTTTAATTGACACAAAATATTACCCAGCTCAGATAATATTTTATTTTGCAATCTTTCAACAATTAGCTGTTAGGAAAGACTGTTTAAGTGAAGGATCTACCATAAAGAATCCAAAATAATATACCACTTTTTGCCCAGTGGCTTTTGCGTATCAGGCACTATGTTACAGATTTTATATGCCTAACTACTATGTTTTTATAAAGTATTATTTTCTAAATTTACAGATGAGATAGCCTCACCTCACTGAGATTACATGATTTGCTAAAGACCACAAGGATAGAATCAAGATTTGAACTCTTTTCTTTCTCCAAATCTAGAGCTCTTTTTCCTTACTTCTGTTCTATGGAATTGATTGTTCTGCTTCTTTTCTATAATTAACCTTTACAATCACTTAATAACAAATTTGTGATATATACGGTAGACACCAATATAAGTGCTGAAGCTACAAAGATAAATGGGAACCCCTGGCCAGGTGTGGTGGTGCGCGCCTGTGGTCCCAGCTACTCAGGAGATTGAAGCGGGAAGATCACTTGAACTCAGGAATTTGAGATCAGCCTGCTCCAAAAAGCAAGTCCCCAACTCTATAAAAATATATTTTTAAAAAATTAGCCAGACATGGTGGCAGGCATCTACGGTAGCAGCTATGTGGGAGGCTGAGGTGGGAGGATTACTTGTGCCTGGAAGTTCAAGGTTGCAGTGAGCTATGATTGCACCACTGTGCTCTAGCCTGGGTGACCACAAAGCCCTGTCTTAAAAACAAAACATAAAAGTAAAAATATGGAACCATCAGTCTAGTTGGAGAAAAATTCATGAAAATAAATGATTACATTGTGGTGGGATATGCGAGTAGAGGTGAAAGAGAAGACACAGAAGCCCTGCCGTGAAGGCAGTGAATAACTTGCTATGGGACTTTCAAGGACTGTTTGGAGGTGAAGGCAGTACCAGAGCAGGAATTAGAGGTACATTGGAAACTTAGTAGGCCAACAGAGGAGATGAGGGTGTGAGGTGTGGAAGAGAAGATACCTGAGTGGGGTCTACTCATGGCAAACCTATATACAATGCTAAGAAATTTGAGCTGTTGTCCTGTGCATGAGAGGAAACAATGACAAATTTTACTGAAAATAATAATTTTAAGAGATTTTTGATGTAAGAAATTACTATCAGCAACAGCAAATATGGGTCAGGGATGGAGAAACTAACTGGGTTGTGATGGCAGATTAGAGATCATGTTTCCATTTATCCAATCTATCAATCCATTTATCCTTCCACTTTATTAGAAAAAGCCTGGTCTAGCTACTCAGGAGGATGAGGCAGGAGAATCGCTTGAACCAATGGAGGTTGCAGTGAGCCGAGATCACACCACTGCACTCCAGCCTGGGCAACAGAGCAAGACTCCTTCTCAAAAAAAAGAAAAAAGAAAAGAAAGAAAAGAAAAGAAAAGAAAAGAAAAGAAAGAAAAGAAAAGAAAAGAAAAAGACTGGTCTAACAAATAATAGTTGGGACATTGGGAATATGATAGGTTTTTGACATATTTAGGAACTGAAATTCAGGCATTTTAGAGATTTATGGGACATCCAGGTAGAGTTCTATGATAGGCAACTGAATAGTTAGATTTCACAGGAAAGCAGATCAATCAATAAATGTGGGACTTATGTATTTACATGTGGTTATTAAAACCAAGGACAAAGATTTCATTACCTTAGAGTATAGTAAAAAAGAGAGGATTGAATAGAATCACAAAGAGGGACACAGGGACAGAGAAGAAGGAGGAAGGAGACTGGGAAAGAACATTTAGGAAGAGGACAGAGACCTAGAGAGGATCATGTAAGGAAACCAAGTAAGGCATGTTCTCAAGACTATAAATTGCTGATAGGAACAGAAGCCACAGGAAGTTTAAGAACAGTGTACATTGGTCTCACAAAATAGGAGACCATTTGTTAAAACACTGTCCAAGGCACTACTTATGGCAGCAGAAGTGAGATTAAAGGGGATTAAGTAGTTGGTGAAAATTAGACAGTGAAAATATAAAAGTAAATTACTATTTTCATAAATGTATATAGGCACACCTCATTTTATTGAACCTTGCTTTACAAATTTTAACCTTGTGGTTAAAACAACCACAGATACTACATTTTTTACAAATTAAAGGTTTTGGCAACTGTGTGGAGCAAGTTTATTGGCAGCATTTTTTTCCAACAGCACGTTCTTTCTCTCTTTTGGCCTCTGTTACATTTTGGTAATTCTTGCAATAACTAAAACTTGTTCATTATTATCACACCTGTTACGGTAACCTGTGATCAGAGATCGTTGATGTTACTGTTGTAATTGTTTTGGGGTGCCATGAACCAGAACCATGTAAAACGGCAAACTCACTTGTTAAGTGTTGTGTGTGTTCTGAATGCCCCACTGACCTGTTGTTCTGCCATCTCTGTCCTTCTCCTTGGGCATCCCTATTCTCTGAGACACAACAATATTGAAATTAGGCCAGTTAAGCCTACAATGGCTTCTAAGTATTCAGGTGAAAGGAATAGTTACATGTCTCTTACTTTAAATCCAAAGCTAGAAATGACGAAGCTCAGTGAGGAAGGCATGTCAAAAGCCAATATGGGACAAAAGCTAGACCTCTTGCACCAAAACTAGCCAAATTATGAATGCAAAGGAAAAGTTCTGGAAGGAAATTAAAAGTGCTACTTTAATGAACGCACAAATGAGAAGAAAGCAAAACCTTATTGTTGACATGGAGAAAGTTTTAGTGGCCTGAGTAGAAGATCAAACCAGCCACACTATTCCCTTAAGCCAACGTCTAATCTAGGGGAAGGCCCTAACTCACTTCAATTCTATGAAGGCTGAGAGAGGTGAGGCAGCTGCGGAAGAAAAGTAGGAGACTAGGAGAGGCTGGCTCACGAAGTTAAGGAAAGATGCCATCTGCATAACATAGAAATGTAAGGTGAAGCAGCAACTGCTGATGGAGAAGCTGCAGCAAGTTATCCAGAAGACCTAGCTAAAATAATTGGTGAAAGGGCCTACACTAAAACAACAAATTTTTAGTGAAAAACGCAGCTTTGTATTGGGAGAAGATCTCCTCTGGACTTTCATAGCTAAGAAGGAGAAGTTGATGCCTGGCTTCAAATCTTTAAAGAATAGGTTGACTCTTCTATTAGGGGCTAATGCAGCTGGTGACCTTAAGTTGAAGCCAATATGAATTTACCATTCTGAAAATTTTAAAACAAGAATTATGCTAAATCTACGTAGCCTGTGGTAAGTGGAACAAAACCTGGATTACAGCACATCTGTTTATAGCATGATTTACTGAATATTTTTAGCTTTCTTTTGAGACCTAGTGCACAGAAAATAATATTCCTTTCAAAGTAGTACTGCTCATTGACAATGCACCTGGCCATCCAAAAGCTCTGATAGAGATGTACAGGGAGATTAATGTTGTTTTCAGGCCTGCCAATGGAACATCTATTCTGCCACCCATGGATCAAGGAGTAATTTTGACTTTCAAGCACTATGATTCAAGAAATACATTTCATGGGGATATAGATTCCATAGATAGTGATTCCTCTGATTGATCTGGGTATAGTCAATTGAAAACCTTCTGGAGGCTGGGCATGGTGGCTCATACCTGTAATCCCAGCAATTTGGGAGGCTGAGAAGGGCAGATCTTCTGAGGTCAGGAGTTTAAGACTAGCCTGGCCAACATGGTGAAACCCTGTCTCTACTAAAAATACAAAAACTAGCCTGGCAAGGTGGTGCACCCCTGTAATCCCAGCTACTCAGGAGGCTGAGTGAGGCAAGGCAGGAGAATTGCTGGAACGTGGAGGCAGAGGTTGCAGTGAGCCGAGATCCCGCCACTCACTCCAGCCTGGATAAAAGAGCAAGACTCCATCGCAAAAAAAAAGAGAAAACCTTCTGGAAATGTTTCATTACTCTAAATTGCATTAAGAACAAGGAGGTCAAAATATCAACATTAATAGTACTTTGAAAGAAGTTGATTCCAACTCTCATGGATGACTTTGAGGGGTTCAAGACTTCAGTGGAGGAAGTAACTGAAGATGGTCTGGAAATAGCAAGATAACTAGAATTAGAAGCAGAGCCTGAAAACGTGACTGAATTGCTGCTACCTCATAATAAATCCTTAAGGGATGAGAGGCTGCTTGTTATGGACGAGCAAATAAAGTGGTTTCTTGAGACAGCCTCTACTTCCGGTGAAGATGCGATGAACTTTGTTGAAATGACAACAAAGGGTTTAGAATACTCTGTAAACTTAGTTCGTAAAGCAGCCACAGGGTATGAGAAGATTGACTCCAGTTTTGAAAGAACTTCTAATTTGGGTACATTGTTATCAAACGGCAACGCATGCTACAAAGAAATCTTTTCTGAAAGGAAGAGTCAATTGATGAGGCAAACTTCATTGTCTTATTTTAAGAAATCATCGGCCAGGCATGGTTGCTCACACCTGTAATCCCAGCACTTTGGGAGACCGAGGCGGGCAGATTGCCTGAGCTCAGGAATTCACAACTAGCCTGGGAAACCCAGGTGAAACCCCATCTCTACTAAAATGCAAAAAATTAGCCGGGCGTGGCTGCGTGCTCCTGTAGTCCCACCTACTCGGGAAGCTGAGGCAATAGAATTGCTTGAACCTGGGAGGCAGAGGGTGCAGTAAGCTGAGATTGTGCCACTGCACTCCAGCCTGGGCCACAGAGTGAGATTCCATCTACAAAAAAGAAAAAAAAAAAAAAGAAAGAAAAAGAAAAGAAATTGTCACAGCCACCCCAGGATTTAACCACCATCGTTGTCATCATCAGCAGCCATCAATATGGAGGTAAGACCTTCCACCAGCAGAAATGTTATAACTGGCTGAAGGCTCAGATGACTGTTAGCAGTTTTAGCATTAAAATATTTTTAATTACGGTATTTTCATTGGTTTTTTAGACATGATGTTATTATACATTTTATAGACTACAGTGTAGTGTAAATGTAACTGGGCCGAAAAAATTGTGACTTTATTGGGACAGTTGCTTAATTGCAGTGATCTCGACCCTCACTTGCAGTATCTCTCAGGTGTGCCTGTATAACGTGAATGGAATTTATTAACAGGGAGTGAAACGAAAGAGTGGCAACTAGAGAGAAGCATGGAGTAAGGAGAGGGATTTTCTCTTGATTTCATTTGTTGACATAGGAATCATTTATAGATTTGTTTTTCATTTATTTCAATGATAAGAAAGAATGATAAGAGGTGGCAGAGAAAGAGAAGTTGAAAATAGAATAAAGCTAAGTTACTTATTATTGAGGAAAACCTAAATGAAAAATAGGGAAATAGGATGAAGTCTATTAAAGAGATTATCCATGAGGAGGGAGACCTCATCTTCTGAGACAAGAATAAAAGATACAATGGTGGACTCAGAGGTAAAGTAATTATAAGTCTTGGTGAATGTGTGTGGTGGATAGGGAGGTATGACTATTCTTTCTCAAAGTAAGTGGTAATTTAACTATTGGGGAAAGGGAGATGCTTGATATTTTGAGGACATTGATAAAGTCTAAGCCAAGCCACCTTTTTTTTTTTGAATAATTACTGAACCATTCCTTTTCTTTAGCAAGTACCATTACTTGAATATAATTGACTCTACTAAAAGTCTTCATATATTTATAATAATCATTGTTAAATCAAAATTATTTTCTAAAAATATCTAGGCTACCATAACATAAATAACATATCACAATATTTTCAAAGACAGTTATCATTTAGCTTATTCATATAATAATTATCCCGTTAACTTTTTTATTTTCTGAGGTGATAAATCTACCTATTTTCATTAAGATTTTATGCAAGCATAATTTATACTACATATAACAAGTTTTTTTCAACTCACAATGACCTTTTAAAATTGTTAATAAGAGTATATAAGGGGTTTTAGAAAACTCCTTGGCTTGTAGGTGTGAGAGAAAGTCACATTTATTATTACTAGAAGCAGTGTTCTGTTGGCATATTACAATGTGGCAGACAATCCTTCAACAATTAATTACCAGTAAAGTAATTATAGAATATCCTTTGATGTTTATAATGTTTTAATTGAAGTAAAAATGTGAGAATATGCTTCAGGGGAATATAATATTTTAATTATTTATGGGCCAAGATATCTATATACTTTGACTAGAGTGCATTTCTCTATTCTGTGGCATCTCTGTTATAATAGAACATTTGTAGACTAAAAAAATAGGGTGTTTTCCCCCCACAGCGTATTACAGTGAATGTAGTCTACTTTATAATCCTCAGGGTTCTTTTAACTTGACGTGAATCAAACACCTTAAGGAAACAGAAACTAAGACTGAAAGTTTTGACAAATTAGTTTTGAAACCTTCACAAACTAAACCTGTTTTTGATATTGGTTTCAAAAAGTATGCATAGAAACTTGACATGAAGTAGCTAAATTTATGCACTCAATTGATATTTATATGTGTGCAGGTCTATCAACGTTATTGAAAAGTTAATCCAAAGGATTTATTGATTACTCTCAATTTCTCAGATACTGTCAGTTCACTTTTGAAAATTATTCTCTTATGTAATATTGCACTCTTTTCAGTAAAAAGGAGAGTTTGTGGCTGTTAAATATGCATGAGGCACAATAGTTTCACAACAAATCAAATTTAATTAAATGATGCATTTCCTCCACTTACAAAAGGTTTATTAAAGGTTTATTTGCTCATGCAAATTAAAGTGTTAGAGTAAAAATCCACATGAAACTTGGCACTAACAATTAAAAAAATATTGAAAGATTTCTCGCCTCGCTGCAATACCTTGCTATGTTTAAACTGCTCAGCTTGTCATTTAGAATCTTTAATGAAACCAGGGAGGAGGCTATTTATTTGCATAATAGGACATAATTTGCTGTGGTGAGGTTTTAATTATTTATAGGCTGTCTGAAATATTTAAAATGGCATCACTAAGGAGCATGAAGTGTTGGATAATGCCTTCATTTCAGGTTTCCTGCCGTTTCTTTTATGGGTCAAGCGATTTATTTCTAATTAGCATACCAGGCTAGTGGCTTTAAAAACATAAGGAAAACAAATTGGTTTCAGTCTGTTTGCAGCTTGAGTAGTTGGAGACGGCCAAGGGTCACTGACGGAGACTGAGCAGAGTTAAGAGATGAAGCCAGAAGCCATCCCAGCACATGGAAATCACTGACTCAACAGAGCCATACTTTCATTTGTGCACACTGATTACTGTATGTAGTAGCTTCTCTTTGGTAGGTAGTGGGTTAGAGTTAATGGATTTCATGTTAATTGTCCCTTAAATATTTTCTACCATTAACACATTTCTTATTGGAAATGATGTGTAAGCAACAGAAAATATTCCATTTCCTTGGATAAAAGATACAGTAATTACTGTGTGCATAGGGAAAAATTCGGCAGTTTCAGGGTGAGATTTAACATTTAAGTATATGCAATCTTATTTATATACAAGAACAAGAGCCTGTGGTTAAAACACAATAGGGTTCTTTTTTAATAAACCATATGGAAACTCATATATCTTGTGAGAGGTTGTGAATTAGCAGAGTACACTAAAATATGTTCGAATTTCTAAAGCATTCTTATTGTGCATTGTCTGTGTTCTAGGTAAAAGGAAAAAAAAAACTCAGGAATCATCTATAAGGTCTCTTATGTTATGATAAATGGATTTTCATGTTCTTTACTATCTATTTTAAATATGATAATTTTCTTGAAAGTAGTTTAAAAGTGGTCATGTTGTAAACATCATTGTATAGCCAGGAGAAATGTGTTTACTGCAAGAGTTTATTATATTTCCGTGATGCTCTAGATATCCCCATCATCATGCACATAGATTGAAAGCAGGGGTAGCACACTGTTGTCAGACATTCTCTCATTTGTCACCTTCTGGCCTCAAAACATGAATAGAGAAATTGCTGCCAGATGTCAAGAAACAGCCTTAGGGCATTACAGAGGATATTATCCATGCCCTTTTAAGTAGTAGACAGATGCTGTATTCAGAGAGAGGATTTTTATGATTATCGTTCACACAGCCCAGGTGATTGGTCAAGGCCATAAAGGAGTCTGCAATCCTTGGAGAACTTTTGGAGTCACTTTAACCATAACGTAATGTATTGCAACAGTTACAATAAATTATGTTATGGTTCCTGAATGTAACCGTCAATTATCATTATTTTTTTAAGTATCCACTGGATACAGATAGTGGGAGTTAGAAAATAATAGATGATAAGCAAATCATAGTCTCAACATCAAAAAAGCTTACAATGTAGTGAATGAGAAAGAGAATTGATTAAAGAGATTGAAGTATATATATTCTTTACATTATAATTAAATATATTTTTATTACGTACTGACAAAATTTCAAGTAAAATACTGGTCAGAATCAAGAGTGTCAGGAAGTGTGGTGCAGTACTAATAAATGGTTTGGGGAAAATTGGATCTGGAAAATGGTAGAAAAATTGATTTGAAAAGATGGACATATATTTAACTTTGCCAGAATAACCCTAGTTTTAAAGTACTGTGTTTATTAGCTTGTTACATATTAATTTGTGCCTTTTAAAGCTCAAAAACAGTTGGCGATGATTTCATATGATTCAAACTAGTCAGTTATTCATTAAAAATACAGTCTTCAATATTGCAACTATTGGCCAAATCTGTGGTAGTTTTGATTGTTGCATGATTTACCATATTCATGGACACAGGAAGGGGGACATCACACACCGGAGACTGTTGTGGGGTGGGGGGAGGGGGGAGGGATAGAATTAGGAGATAAGGAGATATACCTAATGCTAAATGATGAGTTAATGGGTGCAGCACACCAACATATCACATGTATACATATGTAACAAACCTGCATATTGTGCACATGTACCCTAAAACTTAAAGTATAATAATAATAAAATTTTAAAAAAAACCTTTTGAAAAAATAATTTAAAGATAATTATACTTTGTTGTTGATGTTTTTAAAATGGACTTTGCTTTTAGAAGAATTTTAGGTTCACAGCAAAATTAAACAGAAAGCATGGAGAGGTCCCATATATTCCCTGACTTGAACACACACAGGCTTCTCTAGTATAAATATCCCCAACACAGTGGTAGCTTTGTTACAGTTGATGAGCCTATGCTGACAAATCACTATTATCCAAAGTTCATAGTTTACCTTAGGGTGTACTCTTGGTATATACATCCTATGGGTTTTGACACACTTGTGTACCATTGTAGATTCATTGCTGTATTCATTGTAGTTTCACTGCTCTAAAAATTGTCTGTGCCCTGCCCATTCGTGTCTCCCTTCCCTTAACTCCTGGCAACCACTGATCCTTTTTACTTTTTACTGTCCCCATAGTTTTGCTATCAGCAGAATGTCATATAGCTGGAATCATATAGTAGGTAGCTTTTCCAGATTTTTTTCACTCGGTAATATACATTTAAGATTCCTGCGTGTCTTTTCATGGCTTGATAGATCATTTCTATTTAGTGCTGAAAAATACTATATGGTCTGAATGTATCACAGTTTATTCATTCACCCACTGAAGGACATCTTAGTTGTTTCCAAATTTTGATGATTATAGGTAAAGCTGCTATAGATATTCATTTGCAGGTTTTGATGCAGACATAAGGTTTCAACTCATTTGAGTATATACGAAGGTGTATGAATGCTGTACCATATGGTAAGAGGATGTTTAATTTTGTAAGAAACTGCTAAGCTATAATCCAAAGTGGCTGTGCCATTTTGTATTTCCAACTGCAAAGAGAGTTCCTGTTGTTCCCCATCCTCCTCAGCGTTTGGTGATGTTGTTGGACTTCTGCCAGTCTACTAGGTGTGTAGTGGCATCTCACTGTTATTTTAATATTCATTCCCCTAATGACATATGATATTGAGCACCTTTTCATGTTCTTATTTTCCATCTATGTATCTTCTTCGGTGAGAAGTCTCTTCAGATCTTTCATGCATATTTCCATTAGGTTGTTCTTTTTCTTATTGTTGAGATTTTAATATTTGTTGCATATTTTGTGTGTGAGTTATACTCTCATTCTCTTGAAGTCACTTTACTTTTGATAATATACTTATAACAAAAATAACCAGCATCTTGTCCCAAAGAAAGAATAAGCTTTCAGAATACTTGCTCTGCAGCTTAGGAAACCATGTCAACGTGCTGCTGCCTTTTAGTTACTGGTTCCCACCTATCACCACAACATTGAGACTCAGTCTAAGAGGTGCAACATGAGAGAAAAATAATATTTGAATTATTTATCAGCCATGAAATACCTTTTTTTTTTTTTACATCTGAACAGAAAAAGGAAGTCTAGAGCTTATTTGCAGAAGATAATTCTTATAGTGAACTATTTAGAAATAAATTTGACATAACTGGATTTCTCTGAAGATCTCTGGCTATGTAGGGTTCAGCTCAACCAGCGTTTGTCAGGCAAAATGTGTTAGGCCTGGTGGGATGCCCATTACATTGATCCTGGGGTCCAAATACTCCAAACTGCTGTGTCATCAGATACATAGCCATTGCTACAAACTTTCATTTTATACTTAAAGGCCTCACTTCTGATTTCTGAAAAATACATAAGCTGGATTTCATATTCCAATGACATATATTCTATGTATAAATATGTGGATCGATGCTCCGAAATTAAGGTGAGAATATTCACAGTGGGGACATACAAAAAAAATGTGGTCTAGTGAGGCGCCTGTGTATGTCGTGTGCTTGCATGTGTTTAAAAAGTGTAAATGTGGTATTCATTTATGATCAGATGTCTCTGGCATTATTTCGCAGAATTCAAAATTATAAATGAGATTCACCAGTGTCAGTGTAAATAATTAAAATACTTGCACCTGAAACAAACTTACTATACATTTCCATGACTCATATTTACGTAGCTGGAAAACTCATCTAAAACCCACAAGACTTTTTCAACTTTCCTTATAATGTATGAGATATATGAAGACTGTAGATACTTTTATCATAAATGAGCTAAATTTTTACATCAATGTTTAGCTGAGGGGCCAGTGTGGGGTTAATTATATATTGCTATTATAACACAGAAAATAGTTGTTGCATAATCTTACATAAAGATCATATTTCTCAACTTCAACACAAGAAAGCTAACTAAATATTTCTATGACAATTGACACAAAATTGATAATTTTTCAGAGAAAATTGATAAAACAGTTTGACAATAAAACCAATATATTCTTAAAGTGATGTTAGTTAGAGAGGAAGTGGCATAGGATTTAAACAAACAATTAGAGATTGGCTGTAATAATCAGAGGACTGACTGAAAACCCTGAAGTACCAGCTCTTCGTTTCTATTAATTAGAAATAATAATGATATTTCATCTTTGCAATTTGATTAATTGTAGTATTTACCTACATGGTTTTATTCTTTCCATATTATTTAACATGTCTTAAGTTTTATTGTTTCTTCTTTTGTCTTCTAGTATATGTTCTTTAGGCCTATTATTTTTCAGTCCTGTCCATTTATTTCTGCTTGTTAATTTAAAAGTTCTATACATATGATATTATATTGCACAGTTATCTTCCTCTGCTTTTAACCTCTAGTTAAACATATATTTCTCTATTTTTGAAAACAATATTATATTTTCCCATAAATATAGTGATTCTCAAATCCTGATTTTTTTTCCTACTCTACCCCCACCTTACTCCCCAACTGCAATTTCAGTCCAAGAGACAGGAAGAATACGTTTACTTGTCTCCTGCCCACCCTTCTCCCTCTCCTTTATCAAATGAAATAATTGGATTATTTTTATTTTGCTGCCACCTCACACCTATGGAATATCTAGCTTTCCTTGGAGCCTGTTATTTATTGGGTTTTGGGCCATTATTAGAATTTGCTTTGAAGTATATCCTGCTCTTTCAATGTTTTTCTTTATAATTTATGTCATATATTCTTGGAGCATACATCATTATGTGTGTTTACGTGTGTGTGTGTGTGTGTGCATTTATTGGAGGAGGTACAAGAGTCAGAATTTGTGGTTACTTCTTCCTCTATCTTGTTGAGGTGTCTGTTTCAGGTCATTTGTTGTGTGGTTACACTCCTCTGTCACTTTACTCAGATGAATTATCTGTGTGGCTTGCTTTACTGTACAAAGTCTACATCATTAATACTGTATATTGCTCAAATAAGAAAATTGTGTGATCCAGACTAGGATTCCAGTCTTGAAGTCCTATTCTCTCAGGGGTCTATAAAATCTATGGCTACTGCCTTCTAGTTTCAAATGTAGCACAGGATAACCCCAATTCGATCTCTTCATTTTGTTTCCAACCTTTCATATCTACCCAGATGCCCATAAGCTTTCTTCTCTGTTTTCCCAGTTCAGTAGTTTCTGTAGGATAGATCCAGGTGGAGGTTTATCTCATCAACCCAGTCCTGTCTGTGGTTTGTTCTTTCAACCTGCAGACTCAAGTGTTTTTTCACTTCAGGAAAACTTCTATTATTTGTTCAATTAATGCATCTCCTTCATTTATTTTTTCTTCCTTTGTAATGCCTATTATCTATATGTTACATAACCAGGTCATAGCATTTTATCTTTTCCACCACAATTTTGTCACTTTATATTTTGCTCTATATTTTGAAATTTTGTCTATTTGAATATTTAGTATATTTCATTCTCCTCCTATGATTTACATTTCATTTTGTTATTTGGAAAATTGTAGGCTTATAGCTTTTCTTTGGTTCGAGTTGGTTTGTTCTATGTATGAATCCCCTTAGTTATCTTGTTAGTTTTCTGTTCACATTATCTCTGTCTATCTCTTTGCAAAAGAGCGTGTATCAAAAAAACATGGAACAGTCTTTGCTATTTAAGTAATGGTTTGGTACCTGAGTTTTGCTTGTTTTGTTTTGGAGATCTGTTCTAGTTGGAGAACTTGGGAGTTCTGTACAAAACATTAAAAATAAAATGTTAACAGGTTAAAAAAAAGAGAATCCTTATTTTTTTTAGTTTGCTTCTCTTTGTTCTGATGATCTCCCTCTCTCTTACTGTTACATCCCTAATGTGCTATTATCTTCTATCCTCAGTTTCCACACACTCTGGATGTCCCATTGTACTAGGCCGTTTTCATGCTGCTGATAAAGACATACCTGAGACTGGGCAATTTACAAAAGAAAGAGGTTTATTGGACTTACAGTTCCACATGGCCGGGGAGTACTCACAATCATGGTAAAAGCCAAAAAAGAGCAAGTCACATCTTATGTGGATGGCAGCAGACAAAGAGAGAGCTTGTGCAAAGAAACCCCCATTTTTAAAACCAGCAGATCTCGTGAGACCCATTCACTATCACGAGAACAACACAGGAAAGACCCACCTTCATGTTTCAGTCATCTCCCACTGGGTCCCTCCCACAACATGTGGGAATTATGGGAGCTGCAGGGTGAGATTTGGGTGGGGACACAGAGCCAAACCATATCACCCACCCATCTAGCAGAAGCCTAGAAACATTAACTTAAAGAAAATAGACTTGAAGTTGATAGCAGAAAATAAAGTATTTATGTTTCATTCACCATCTTATCAAGTTCTCCGTATTGCTGCCTTCGTACACTGACATAAAATATTTTGTTTGTTTTCTGTAGGGATTTTAGAAAAATAATCAAAAGTTAATACAAATGATTTTAAAATAAAGCAAAAATTATATTTGGATATGAATTTCAATGGGTTTCTAGGTGCAGCAAACTACCATGGCACATGTTTACCTGTGTAACAAGCCTGCACGTCCTGCACAAGTATCTCGAAAATTAAAATAAAATTAACTTAAAAATAAAATAAAATTCACTAATGTAATAGAAAAAAAGAATATAAATTGCATTGACATACATTCATAATGCAAATCTTTCACTCAGTGTTTGCTTAGGCATAGACAAGATACCTATTAACAAATATAAACACGCATATAGACAATAGAGCATTTACTTCTAGAGAATTGAGGTAAATATCACATAACAAGTTTTTTTGTATCTGGGACTTAGAAAAGTGCTCCTTAATTTTAAAAATACTTTTAATAACATATTTTTATAGATTTCCCTCTCTCAGAGTGACTGTGTGTGTGTGTGTGTGTGTGTGTGTGTGTTTATTGGAGGGGGTACAAGAGTCAGAATTAAGAAAATTAATTAAGAAAATATTGCATTACTTGCTTTGAATTTCAGAACTACTAGATCATGGAAGCAAGTTCTGATTTACTCAGTACATTTACTCAGTACATCCCGAGATACTACTTCAATTCTTTTTTTTTTTTTTTAGATGGAGTCTCACTCTGTCACCAGGCTGGAGTGCAGTAGTGCAATCTCAGCTCACTGCAAACTCCTCCTTCCAGGTTCAAGGGATTCCCCTGCCTCAGCCTCCCGAGTAGCTGGGACTACAGGCACGTAATACCATGCCCGGCTAATTTTTTATGTATTTTAGTAGAGACGGGGTTTCACCATGTTGGCCAGGATTGTCTCGATCTCCTGACTTCGTGATCTGCCTGCCTTGGCCTCCCAAAGTGCTGGGATTACAGGCGTGAGCCATCGTGTCCAGCTACTTCAATTCTTATAATGCGTTGGGGTGATAATAGTAACAGGAGTACTGCTACAAAGTCATGGTAATCTAATAAATGAACTAAATGGCCAATTACCCAACTGAGGGAGCCACCACACTCAAAATTATGTTAACATACCTGGAATAATTTTAGACCTAGTTCATTATTAAAGAAATGGAATTCTAGTTGTTCTTGAGTACTTATATCCTTTATTATTCATTTAACAATATGTCTGTTGAAAATGTCACTCCCTTCATTTTTTGAAATACTATGCTTAAGATCAAAGTGAAAATATCTTACTTCTATTGTGTATACAATTAAGATAAAAGTTTAACCAAGTATTACTTTTAGCTATCATTTTTAGGTTTGCTTTTGTTTTAAAATAATTTTCCTTCCTTAAACTGTGGTTCAATTTCACTTTCCTGTTTCCTTCTTCTGGTTTTATTCCTTTGTCCAAGTGTCTTGAGTGGCAGTGAGAACTTAAGGCTCTGTTGGCTCTTGATTATGTGCAAGAAGCAAGAAGCCCATCTTCCACCCTTCAATTCTATTGTTCTTAATCAGCATTATACATAATGCAAGGACAAGAAGGAAAATAAGACTATAGCTCAGATCCCGAGATAGAACAATGTAATTTATGAGGTCAAACTGCTTTAATAGCACAGTGGTAAAGAAAAATCAGCAATAAGTTGTTCTCTGCAGGCAATGGAGAAATTGGAGATAGGACCCAGTACTTGTAGTAGTGGTGCCTGGATCAGTGTAAACCCTCCAAGGTTAGCTATTAGCTTTATTATAGTAGCTAATATTTATTGGATGTTTATTACATGCCAGGCATTGTGATACGTGTTTTATATTTTTCCTCATTATAACCTTTGAAGCTACTTGATAATTTTATTTGCATCCTTTTATAGTTTATGAACAGTAAAGCAAGAATTCAAATCTGGGTATTCTGAATTCTGCTCTTTCCTCATTGCTGGTATGATACAGTTTCTTCATCATCATCAGTGATGAAGACAGGATAGTGGGGAACTTGTGGATTTCATTCTGTTTCTATTCTATTGCCATGAATGGATACAGTGAAGATACACAGAGGTAGAGCAATGGAGCTCACTTTGTCTTCAGTCCTGCAGTCCCTGGGAGATGAATAGGAACAGGTATATTTTCCTGAAAATGAGAAGTACCTATGGGTAAGACCAGTCACAGAAGTATGAAACATCAAGATAATATCTAAATAACTTAAAACTTAATTATACTTTTCATTTTACTTAAACTTTTAACTTTGAAGACCAATGAGAATCTTGCAAAGAAATCAACTTCCAAAATATTCCCAATGAGAAATTTAGAATTTCTCATTTGAGAAGTTTGGCTTAGGCCAAACTACCAGCATGTTATATCTCCTGCTAATTTTCTCTTTTAATTCCTCAAATTCAATGTGTATTCAAAGGCAAGTTTGTGTGTACATATGTGTGTGTGTGTGTGTGTGTGTGTATACACACATATATATGCATATATATGTAAATGGATGGGTGAATGAATGTGCACATAACAGTTTAGTTAATAATCCCATGTATATACTAAAGTTGTCAATGATTCCCAGGAGGACTTTATGAATATTCAGTAGAGTTTCATATTTTACAATAAAAATCTGCGACATGAAAGGCTCTTTCAATACTCTAGTGCTTACTAGTTATGAATTAGATAAGTGCTTAGAAGGCTGAAGATAATAAATCTTTATTATCAGCCCACTTACCTTAATTATTTTTATCCTAACTATGGATACTTTTGAATAATTACAATATGACAATTTTCCCACCCAGTAGTTTCTTCTTCTTCTTCTTTTTTTTTTTTTTTTTGATGATTGCTCTTCTGTTGCTTATGTGGAAGATATTCCTTAAAAGTGAAAAGAAACTTCCAAATAGTAATTTGGATTTTAGTTCAGATTATGCTCAGGGAATAAGTGACTTTTTTCTCATATGCTTGTCTATCTTGGCAGTTAAATCCATCATCTGGTTTCAGCTATCACTTTTATATCACATCAATTATACCAGATCTTTCTTTACAACTGCCTGCATTGTTCTAACTTGACCTCGATCTCTCTCAGACATCTCCAACAAAAGCTGTCCAAAATTCAGCTCAACTTAACCTACTTACCACAGTGTTGTTTCTACTATTGACTACATATCATTGGTCAAGCCCCATTTCTTCTGGCAAATTTTTTCTAAGTGACTTTGCATCAGTTTACATACCCTGCTTATCTTCAAGCACGGTACTTCCAAATGGGTTTATGGTGCCCTACTGTTCATTGTGACTAAAGAACTAATAATCATCATCATACACATGAGGAAAGCTGCAACATGAAAAATAATACAAGACAAACAAGTAGATAAATGGACTTAGCAGAAACAGAGATAAAGCCAGGAGCAAAATGCATTTTTAAAAAACTATAAAGCCTATTCTCAAGATTAGAATATTAGATATTGAATGCAATAAAGAAAATAGGAAGCAATTAAAAAGGGAAAGTTCAGACAAGACCAAAGAGATCTTGGGAATTTAAAATACATTAACAAAAAATTTAAAAATACAATGATAAATGGAAAAAAAATGAAATCTCTAATGAGATGGAGGAAAAATACAAACAGTATGTGTCTTGGTGGTGGGTACTTGTAGTGAGTGCCTAACAAATTTTACAATTTTTTTTTTTAGAACTGAAGGACAACTGTTTCTAGATTGATAAGGACCATCAAATGCCTAGTACAATGAATAGAAAAATACCCTAATTATGGTATATCATTGTAAAATTTCAGACTGTCACAAGTAGAAAATCCCAAAAGTTTCATCAGAAAAAAATACATCCAAACTGTTACCAGTCTGCGGCCTGTTAGCCCAGGCCACTCAACGTGAGGCGAGTGGCGGGTGAATGAGTGAAGCCTCATATGTATTTACAGCCACTCCCCATGGCTTCCATTTCTGCCTGAGCTCTACCTCCCATCAGATCATGTGAACCACACATGCAAGGGATCTATGTTGTACACTCCTTATGAGAATCTAATGCCTGATGATCTGTCACTGTCTCTCATCACCCCCAGATGGGACTGTCTAGTTGCAAGAAAACAAGCTCAGGTTTCCCACTGATTCTACATTATGGTGAGTGTATAATTATTTAATTATATATTACAATGGAATAATAATAGAAATAACATACACAATGAATGTAATGCATTTGGAACATCCTGAAACCACCCCTCACTCCCTGGTCCATGGAGAAATGATCTTCCACGAAACTGGTCCCTGGTGCCAAAAAGTTGAGGACTGCTGATGTACAAGACTTTTCAACAATTGAAAGGTGTCTAGTGACGGTGAAAAGCATTTTTTAACATGTAGAAGGTAAACAATTTCCATCTTGGACTTCTATACCCTGTAATTAACTATTAATTACATGTGGAAATAGAATGAAGTTCTTTTCAGATACACCAGCTCTCAAACATCCTACTTCCTCTGCACAGTTTCTCAGGAAATGACAGGAAAGTAGTGTCAAGACAAAAAACAAACAAACAAAAAGATATGGGATGCAGGAAACGTGATCCCAACAAAGGAGGGAAGTGAAAGCAATTCTTTCTCAGGGTGATGCTTAAGGAGAGTTTTAAGGTGATGTGAAAGGATCCAAATGGCACTATGAAGCATGCCCCCAAAACAATCAATCAGATGTGCAGGGTTATCATTTTTAAAGTAATAAAATTGATAAGAACATTAGTAAGTGGTAAACTAATAGATTGCTACATAGTTTTAACCATACTATAAAACCCCTTTCCTGTAGTGTTTGGGAGGAATTAGTGCTAAGTACATGGGGAAAAAAAAGTCACACCATCAAAAAGCAAAACAAGACTAACAAAAACTAAGACTTTTTAACTGAAGGATTTAAGAAGAAAAAGCTATATTTTAAAAGAATCATAATACTGTGCATGGTTCAGTTGTAAATAACATTTTATAGGGACAAAAATATAAATTATTATTGCTGACTTAGCTAAAAATTGTGGTAGAACTCTATTGGGAGGCTGAGGGGAGAGGAAGCCTGTGTGTGTGTGTGTGTGTGTGTGTGTGATGTAAGAAATAAGAGTTAGATCCTCGTTTTTAATACTTTGTAGAAAAGCACTACATGGTGTCTAAAATTGAGAAATCCAGAAATAATAGTTTAACCACAGTATTCAGGAATATGGTTGGCAAATACCATAAGAATCAGCCCATGTTGAAAGCAGTTATAAGATTGAGGAGGCTGAATGTTATTAGACTAAAAGTCCTATTTGACTTGCAAATTATGTTTTATTTGACGACAATGCAAGTCAATAGAAACAAGAAAAAAATTCAGTTTGTTTTTATGAATGCCAAATTAAAACATACTTCCAAAGTTAACTTGAAGCTAACAAGACTTTTTTTTTTTCTTTTTTAACTTAGGTTTTGTTGACAACAAATACCTTTCCAACCCTCCAATGGAAGGGTACATTAAAAGCATCACTTAACATGATATTAGGCAAATTTAAAATATGCCCTAAATACATTTTTTGGATTGAGCCAACATATTTTTGTACTCAGAGATGTAGAAAAAGACAGGTAAAATAAAATAGCTCTTGACTTGAATCTTACAAGAAGTCCATGGCCTGCACCCCTTTTTCATCCTCCTAGATCTCTGGCTGTAGGTTTTTCAGTTCTCTACTCATCCAAATTATCTGCTGCCTTTTTTATTCCTATGAGATCTTATTAAGTGAGTGCCTACAGGATCTGGTAAACAAACTATTTTATGTAAGCTGCACAAAGTTGCTAATTATAGCATGGTAACTTTACACTGTAGCGTGTTTGCATTCTGACAGATTAGACACTGAAGACAGGGATCGGCCAGTGAGCATTATGGAAGCTGCATTAGTGTGGGATTTGTTTTTGGCCGGTGGATTCCTCACACCATTCATCTCAAACCTACATGTGGGGCAGGCACCATGTCCTCCTAATCTCTTTTGTATCATGCTTCTTGAAAGGCACACCGGGGAAGAAATACATCACATTATTTAAAATTAAAGACAGATTACTCTGGAGTAATTTTTTGCTCAGAAGGTAAGGATTCCTTTATCTTTTAACCTTGCATCCTTTAAGTAGTTACAATGGGATGCTTCATAGCAATCTCTTTCTTTTCTGGCTATTCAGCTTCTCATGTTACCATTTATTCAATAAATATTCATTGAGTGTCTACATGCCATGGGTTTTGTTGCAAGAACATGAAATACCAGTATCAGAGATCCTGTATAAAGCAGGAACTCAGAATGAACTTCAAGAGATGACAAATAATAAATAGTGTGACATTAAGTTCAGTATTTAAGACATTAAGTATATTTAATATTTCTTTCTGAGCACATTAAACACTTTTAAGTTTCAGAGAAGTGGCATCAAGAGATTTGTTTGAAAGTTTTCTAATTTTTTCCTCTCTGTATGTGCGTTTTTTGTTCTTGATTTGGAATCCACTGAAGGCATTTGAAGTTAACTATCAACCTCGTTCTATCTGGTAAATCACAAAGAACTCTGCTTTAACAGACAAAGAGAACTTTTCTAAAATCTATTTGAAGCATGTGACTGGTGAAATGCTGGGTTGCTATTACTCTCTTTTGAAAAGTCTACTACAATGCTATTTTAGTTGGCTATATATGAAATTGATTATTAAAAATATCCTTGGCCCGGGTGCCCAAGGATATATGAATATGGTCAGACTCAGATGTTAGACATTTTGTCAATAAGGAGCTTACCAATTCATAAACAGATCTTTAAGACTACAAGTGACACCATACTTAAAAAGAACACATTTTAAAGCAAACATTTCACAAAAATCATATAACTTGCTTTTATTTCTAGACAATTATAAAAATATAGCAGTCATATAAAAAACCATAAATATAAATGCACAGAGCAATTAAGTATTTGAAAGTGTACCCCTATAGCTATTGCCCCGTGACGAAACAGTATGATGCTAGCAGAGTATGCCGAAGGGTCCTGTGCTCCTGTCCCCAGTTGCACTTTCTCCTGTCTAAAAAATAACCTCTACTATGACTTTTATTCAATAATATTTATTTTATTCATATGTTCAGGCCTTAAGTTTGCAACCCGACTTTACCACCTAAGAATATATTACTCTTTACTATTTTTTTTTTTTTTTTGAGACAGAGTCTCGCTCTGTCACCCAGGCTGGAGTGCAGTGTCATTATCTCAACTCACCGCAAGCTCCACCTTCTGGGTTCACGCCATTCTCCTGCCTCAGCCTCCTGAGTAGCTGGGACTACAGGCGTCCACCACCACGCCCGGCTAATTTTTGTATTTTTAGTAGAGACAGGGTTTCACCGTGTTAGCCAGGATGGTCTCCATCTCCTGACCTCGTGATCTGCCCACCTTGGCCTCCCAAACTGCTGGGATTACAGGCGTGAGCCACCGCGCCCGGCCCTACTATGTTTTAATTTTGCTGATTTTTGAACCTTATATCAATGGAGTCATACAGAATGTATTCTGTTGGTCTACATGATGTTTGTAAGATTTGCACATGTTGGGTATGTGGAGTTACAGCTTTACATTTTTATTATGTGAAAGTATTCTAATATATAAACACAGTATTTTCCATTTATGAATTTAACTGAGGCACACTCGAGTTGTTTCCATGTCTTGTCTACCATAAATAATGCCACAGAGATCATTCTTGCAAATGTCTTCTGGAGCATATGTGAAGTCATTTTTGTTGGGAGTGTACCTTTTAGTAAGTTGTAGGGACTCACTGATTTGCCTTTAGTAGAAAAGGTCAAACTGTTTTCTAAGGTAGTTGTACCAGTTTACACTCCCATTGGTGATGCATGGGAGTATAGTTTGTTCTGCATCCTTGCTAATGTTTAGTATTGCCAGTCCTTTTAGTTTGAACTGCTCTAGTTTGTGTGGTTTTATATATTTCACTTATTAAATTCAGGCTAGTATTAAATTCAGGCTAATATTAAATTCAGGCTAATATGTGCTGAAATGTTATTAAATTTAGAAAAGCATCCATTTCTAGCTTTATTACTTTCTCTAAAGTTTAAATTACGATAATGCTTGTAAATTATTTAATTTTCAACTCTCAATAAAGGAGCACATCTATTTTCTGAAGTATTTGTCCCTTAATCTGTGTATACCTTTATCAGATCAAATGTCATATTTTAGAATGTAAATGTAAATTCAAGAGTACCTGTTAACCTCCCTGTGAGGTATTTTAATTTACTTTGAATCTCTCTCCATTTCATTAAGGTACTTTTTTATTCTATGCAAATAATTACATGAGGAGAGATAAGTACACAGAACTTTGGTACAGTTTTCTCATTTTGATTTGCCGCACAAATACGTTGACATTTTAAAAAGTTGACTGAAGTATCTTTCCATTATATTTCCTGAAGCTGTGGTGGAAAGTTTTATGAATATTTTGCTTCTGATGCTTTTTCAATTGCCTAGTGATCCTTGATCATCTTTATACTTAGAATAAGGCAATATAAACACACACACACACACCCACACCCTGTGAACTTTATTTAGGCAGTGAAGTCTTGTTGTCAAGCAGGCTTTGGGAGCTTTTGCTATGACTTCCTATGGATGTAACGAAACAAAGAAAGCATTGCCTGTCGAGTAACATTTCCCAAGCAAGCTATCCTAGGTTCCTCAGAACAGTTTCTTCAGTGTTTGTAAGAAATCTTGTTTTTCCCATGGGATAAACATATGACCGTTGAGTATTTTGCAAAACAGTGTAAAGAAAGGTTGATTAGAGGCTCTTTTCACTTCCCCAACTCACTAGAAACATTCACAGACACGTTCTCATGTTCCCAACCCTGTTTAAGTTTCTATGCTATGCCTTCCTCTGATAGCTTCAGCAGCCTTAATGTATTCACTAATGATTCATCTTGCAGAGGTGTCTTGAAACAGCTTGCCCTTAACAATTTCTTCTTTAATTACTCTGTTGTGTGGAGAATCATCTTTTTCCTCCTTTACTGTCCCTTTAATTTTATTTTATTAAAGAGAAGTGACAAACTTATGTTCTCAAAATGCCTTATTTTTTTTCCATACAGAAACTGATTTGTTTTAGCTTTGGAGGTAGGGAAGACAGAATCAGGCAAATATATTTTTCAGTGAGATTTTGTTTTAACTGTTAAAGGTTCATAAGAATTTTGACAAACAAGACCCTTCTCACATTTTTAACTTAATATTGTAATGTAGAGCTGTATTTTATTTTGTCACATTATATATGCAATTTTAATAAATGTACTTACCAGTTAAAAGGGACAGTGCTTCTTTTTTAAAGTGCATTATTTGTTGCTTATGATGGCAGAGTTACATTTTGTCTCCTAATCTTTTTGAACATCTTTCAATTTTTTTTCTATGCTAAACAAGAAAGAAAGTTTTACAGCAGTGTAATTAACCTAACTTTGAACAGTTGCAGGGGATGAATTTGAATATCTTCGGGGAGTTTTAGGGATGGCTTATCATTGATAACTTTCTCATTTTTCTCCTCTCATTGCTCTACTCGTATGTTACACAAGTAATAATTTAAAGAATTACTCATATAAAAGGTTCACATAAAACACAGATGGGATACATGGAGTAACCATGAAAGCAAGCCCCTTTGCCCATACACATGCATGCTGCCTAGGAACCAGCACACACATTCTTTCTCTCTCTTCATCCCTCATTCTCTTCCAAGCACCCTCATCAGAGGTGATGGTTTTTATTCATCCTCTACTTTTTCTATACATTTCCACTTTGAACAAAAGTTCTCTGCAAAGGAATTTGGAGGAAAGAGACTTTACTCCTGTGAACAGTTTGCAAACAGGGGAAACAAGGAGGCTTCAGGGTAAAACGAAGCTGTGTTCCAGAGAGCAGAGGGAGGGCTCCGGGTTTCATAGCAAAAGGTTTTGCCTAGGTTCCCAATAAGGCCAGCTTAAGCAAACAAAGGATTGAAAATTGCTTAGTTCTCATTGGTTGGTGCAGCTGAGTTCTAATTGGTGGATACAGAGGATCCCTGATCAGTTGATGCAGATGAGCTCTAATTGGTTGGTTTCAAAGCCCAAAACCAGAAGTCTCTGATGTTTCTTTCAAACTGTGGGCGTGAGAGGTGTGAGTGAGGTGAGGGATAAGGGGGTGTCTGGCCACAGTGTATCTTGGCATCCAGGGCAGGGAACAATAGGAATAGTTTTGTCTGGTTGTAGAAAGGGAGGTCTACTGATACTTTACAACATTTTTCTGACAACACAGAGTAAGGTAGTGCTCCCTTACCCAGCTATGGCTGCCTGGTTCTGTTTTCACTTTGAGCACCTCAGCCATGGGAAGTCCATTTGGTCTGTCAGTCAGTGGCAAATTAATTTAACACCGTATATAATTATTATCTTGTGCAGTTCAAAATGTGTCATTCTGTGTTACATTTCCCTTGCAAGTATGCTTTGAAGAACTCCTCATGTCTGTTCATGTAGTTTTACTATTCTTTTTAATACTTATTTCTTATTGTGATTTGTTTTATTTGGACTTATGTTTTTTGTTTTTGCTTCCTGTGGAGCATAATTTCTTGTTGGTAGTGTTTCTCTTTTGTGTTTAATTAGATTTTCTTTGTTTAATTTTGTTACTATATACTGAAATTATGTGTCTCATTTGCGTATTTTTCCAATTTTGTATTGTGTCTTGCCATTATCTAAATAGTATCATTACATTTAAATATATATGTAAACTCTTTAAAAAATCAACATCTATGCGAATTGACATCTCTCTTCCCTGCAGCGACGACAATTTTAACATGCTTTCCCTGTTCTCACTCCAGGTTCCCAAATTTTGACATTGGGATCATTGGAAATGTTCAAAGCCTCGTAGCACCATTATTGTTTTAAGTCTTGTTCCTCAGTTTTTCCTGTTCACATCATTATTTATTGCATAATACATCTCCCTTTGTGTGGTGAATTTCTCTGTTTTTCCTGTGTTCATATCCTTTTTGAATGCTAGTTTGACGGAAAATGGGATCCTATGTTCAAACCAATTTTTTTCTGAGAAATTCAAAGAGAGTTCAACGTTATCATCAGTGTCTAATGTTGCTGAGGATAATTCTTGTAATTCTGAAGCAAATCTTTGTCATTTATATGGTTTGGATTTGTATCCCCGCCCAAATCTTATGGCAAATTGTAATCAACAATGCTGGAGGAGGGGCCTGGTGCGAGGTGACTGGATCACGGGGGTGAATCCTTCACGGATGGTTTAGCACCATCTCTTTGGTGCTGTTCTCGTGATAGAGTTCTCATGAGGTCTGTTTAAAAGTGTGCAGCACCTGCCTGCTCTCTCTCTTCCTCCTGTTCTGGCCATGTAAGATGTGCCTGCTTTCTCTTTGCGTTCCGCCATAACCGTAAATTTCTTGCAGCCTCCCTAGAAACCAAGCAGATGCCAGCATTGTGCTTCCTGTACAGGCTGTGAAACTGTGAGCCAATTAAACCTCTTTTCTTTGTAAATTACCCAGGCTCAGGTAGTTCTGTAAAGCAGTGTGAGAACGGCCTAGTACAGTCGTATCCCTGGTTTAATTTTTATCTCTTCCCTAGGTCATTATTTTAAGTATTACCTGAGTCTTATATTTGGGTCATCTCTCATTTTCAAAACATCATGTGTCTGAAAATATTCTCCCATTGCTTTTGCACAGTCATTTTCCTGTTAAATAATTTAAAAATTCGCATGTGATATATAGTATTTAGTGATGATTCCTAACTTTTTTCTTGTTGATAGCCTTTATAATTTATTTTCTCTGCTTATATGCTAGTAGAAACATTTTTTCCTTTAAGATTTTCCCCAAAAATATGCCCAGATGTGTATCTCTTCACATGTATTTTGCCTTTTATATGAGCCTTTTCAATGTGCCAACCACATTTTTTTCAGCCCTTTAAACTTGTCTTACATTATACCATCTATTATTGCTTCTCTTCTGTTTGTTCTGTTTTCTTCTTTTGTAACACCTATAATTATGAGGCTTGAGTTCCATGAATTGTCCTCCAGACCTTGTAGCTGCTTTCTCCACATTTTCATCTTTTTTACTGTTTCTTCTGAATTTAAAGAACATTTCTTAAGTAGATCTACTGTTCTTATTTTTTTGAAGTGTCTTTTTTTTTACTCCAATCAGGTGTTCATGTTTTTAAACTCTCTCACATAGTCCCCTCTTAAACAGACACATATATGCACACACAACATTCATATCCACACACATCCTGCTTGGAGAAAAAAAAAGTGAGTACTGAGTGAGAGAGGTACACAAATAAAAATTAAGCAGTTTATTAAGAGCATTTTTAGTAGTTGTTGCCTTTAGAGTTGTGTTATTGAAGGTAGTATGCTTTACTTCAAAAACATAGATTTTTTTTCCTGTTAATGTTATAGGTTTATTTTGTTTGCATTGTTTATTTGTTTACATTTAGGTCTATATCTAGCAAAAATTATCTGTGTTTGTAATATGAAGCATCAATCAATTCTATGTTTCTCCATTTATTGAATTGTTTACCTTTTCATATTGATGCATAATGACACTTTTATTGTGTACCATGGACCATTTTTAAGCTCTCTCATTCAAAGACCAATTTATAAAATATAGTGCTGTGGATTAAATTTTATTAAAGAAATCTTGTATCTCTCAGGGCAAGTACCCAGACCTTGCTCTCTTGCTTTGGTCTCAAATATTGGATATTTAGTAAACCAAACAAATTTCAACCTCAGATGTATACATTTTGTAAAAAGAGGTAGATTGGGATTATGAATTGAAATAGATTGATTTCATAGAATAATTTTCCATAGTTAACATGATAATTTTTGAATATATGAATAGCAGTATTTATAGAGAATTTACAATATTCCAAGTACTTTTTAAATGTGTTTATATATATCTATTTTATTTAATCCTCATAAAAATGCCGAGGTAGAGTAGATATGCTGAGGTAGAGTAGAGTATAGTGGATATTTCATTATGTCCATTTTATAGACTAGAAAATGGAGACACAGAGAGTTGATGAATTTCACCCCACTTCACACAGCTAGAATGCAGTGAAGCTGGTAGTCCAGCCCAGGTTGTCTGTTGGCTTTATATTCAGGGCTCTGATAGTGATAGCTCTACACCATGCTCTCTTGATCTCCCCTCCTAATAGCCTAAGAAACACCCATTTTTCTCAACTGTTTAATCTTTATACATAAGAGTACTAACTATGTAAAAGCAGAGACTTTTTTTTCTACATTTTTTTCTCTTTTGTACCACCAGCTCCTAGAAGAGCTCCTGACACATATTAGACACCCAATAAACATTTAATAGAAGTAATGAATTTTAAATATTATAAATCTTAGTATTTAAAAACCCTGAACTGCTGAAGTCTCTAGAACTCCTTAGAAAGATTCATTTTTTTTCTATTAATGTTATCTTTCTGCTATATAAATAAATGATACATTATTTTTAAAGCCAATCCAATCATCTATTATGTATGCATTTTTAAGGAATTATACATTTCTACCTGCCACTTTGAAGATAATATTATCACATGTTCCCATATGTTATGAATAAAAACCTAAAACAAAGTGTTTTTCATGCCTCTAGTATGAATTATGAAAAATTGAAAGACTTAAATATGTGTCTCCAAGACCAATACCTAAGACTTAAGTATTCCTAATGTTTTTGGCCTTTTTAATACAGTTATTACATCTCTATGGTTAATGCCATGCAAACTTAGATATCAGAGGTATTTTTTCATAATCTGATATATACACTTTTTTTGCCTTTTCATGTAAAAAATATGCCATCTCCCATTTCACTAGTTCTTTTCCTTATTCCCAGCACCCAGTCCTTCTATTTTGTACAGAATATTGATTATTAGCACTTAGCCTAGAAGAAATGGAATCATTGCCCTAACTGATTTATTTCTGAAGAAGTTCATTGATATATTCAGATCGACACATCTAATTCATAATTTTCTAGTTATTTGCCTGTCATTTTATAAGATTCTGAAACTTCACACGTTATCTAGTTGTTTTACTTTTTGCATTTTTTTCCACCCCTTAAACACACCACATTGCTTTACCTCTATTTTTGTTAGCTTCTGAAATTCTTAATCCATTTCAAAGCTTTTAAAAGTTATATAAATATATATCTTCCTGATTGCAATTTGGAGAACACAATTATTTACTCGACCTTCATTCAAGGACCAAATTCAGAGGGAAGCATCGCTGATTTCAGTGCTTGAGATACTGAAAACAGTGAGAATATGGTATCTGCCCTACCTAAAAGATCTGGCAATTGAATGAAAGAGAGAACCATATAAAAGATAAATTGTGAAGCATACTACTTATTGCTGAGGAAGATGGTATCAGGGAGTGGGTAGATCTAACTTTTTAGGGTGAGTGAAGAGTTTTCGAGTAAAAAGTGGGAAATAATTATACAAATAGAGGATATGACATATGCAAGTATAATGGAGGCAGGAAAGGGTTGGAAGTTGGAGGAAATGGTGATGGCACCACTGCAGTGAAGACTAAGGTGCAAAAGATGAAGATACAATGAGATTTTGATGAGCCTTTTCCCTGAATAAACATGCTATGACATAACCATTTGTTTGTGTTTGTGTGTTTCCTGTGTGTGTATTTTTAAAAATAGGAAAGTTTTGTATTTTGTTTTGATTTGGTTTAGTTTATTCTTAAAAATTCAAAACTGGGAGGGCCAGATACGGTGGCTCACACCTGTAATCCAAACACTTTGGGAGGTTGACATGGGAGGATTGCTTGAGTCCAGGAGTTTCAGATAGTCTGGGCAGCATAACCAGACCCCCACCTCTAAAAAAGAAAAGAAAAAATACAAAAATTAGGGCCAGGCACGGTGACTCATGCCTGTAATCTTTGGGAGGCCAAGGTGGGCGGATCATCTGAGGTCAGGAGTTAGAGACCAGGCCGGCCAACATGGTGAAACCCCATTTCTACTAAAAAAAAAAATACAAAAATTAGCCAGGTGTGGTGGCGCATGCCTGTAATCCCAGCTACTCAGGAGGCTGAGGCAAGAGAATCACTTGAACCTGGGAGGCAGAGGGTGCAGTGAGCCGAGATCACACCACTGCACTCCAGCCTGGGCAACAAGGGTGATACTCCATCTCAAAAATAAATAAATAAATTAAATAAAAATTAGTCAGGTGTGGTGACATGTGCCTATAGTCCCAGCTTCTCAGGAGGCTGAGGTAGGAGGATGGCTTGAGCCCGGTAGTTCCAGTTTACGGTGAGCTATGCTCTCACCACTGCACTCTAGCCTGGGCAACAGAGCAAGACCCTATCTCTAAAACAAACACACAAAAAACTGTGCAATGGTATCTTAAGTCCTACATCCTAGTTCAAATAAGATGTTGTGGCGTATCCTAGGAATTTATTGAAATGTTGTTTTAGTGGTAAATTTTTTTCTTAAATTGAAACAATTCATTAACAAACTGTGAAACTCAATCCATTTCTAATCTGGATAATACGAATTATTAGTAAGAATTGTTTCTGTCCACTACTTAAAAATCTTTAGGTTAAATGATGTCTTCTGGCCTTTGAAAAATGCCGTTTTTCATGTCCTTGACTGTTTGAGATACCTCTCCTATTGAGACTATTGCTGGCTGAATGAGTCCTGGGCTGCTAAACACTTGCGTTGGTCAACCCCACAAACCAAGAGGAGTCGGAGTTTTCCTCTGCCTTTGTCTGCTGCTTCATTGCTCAAGGTCATCTTTAATGGAATGACCTTGATATTTGGGAATAGGTTTTGAGAAACATGCACTCTGCTCTGATACCTAAAATGATATTATTAGCATAATCACTGTATACTTTCTGATTCAACGTAAAACAGTAATAGCAATCACACTTCATCATGATCAGGAATATCTTCAGTTGGAAAATACATGCTTACAATTGCAGGCTCTTCATGATTACAGAATCTCACCTTGATTGGATACAATGTGATTATTAGGCAATTTCTGTGTGACAGTCCCTCACTCACCAACTTTTACTGCTGAGAATTGATGATTTACCAATACTTTGTATCCTCATGATCTTGTATATCATATACTATCCATTATTTTATCTTTATCTTATGGTTTTATAATAATTTAACTTCACTTCCAAGTATGAGGTTAGCATGAATTCTCAGGAGTTAATAGAACGTGATCTTGTTCTGTTTGGATTCATCCCTATTTATGGTAACTGTATTCCAGAACTTATTTTTGCTCTTTATGGAAAAATGGCTGAATCTCAACTCGACAGTACTGTGACCTGGAGATTTTATTTCTCATATTAATTTATACAGGCATAGGTAAATTGAATTTTTTTGAATTTGCAAAAAAAAAAAAAAATGATGGGAGAGTCTTTATTGGAATCATGAAGGAAATAACTTGATTTCCACTGCTTGATACTTGATTCTCTGGGAGTGAAATAACTTTTGTTGAGCAACTGTAATTAGAGATCAGTGATCTGAAAAAGCTAATTACCCAATATCAATGTTGATGGTATTCTGAAAGTTTGGTTCATATCAGTCTCAGAGTGTTTATGTCATATCAATATTTTTATTAGATCAAGTTTATAAGACTCAAATATCTCATAATTTCATAGTTGGCAAATGCAATGTAAAGCTGGAATTTATTTTAATTACAATTCTCTTCCTACATGTTAAAATTATTTCAACCTTTAGCAGCATACAATTATTACAGAATAGATCATTTTTAATGATTCATTATGTATGAGGTCATTTGACAATGCAATTAGCTTTGTGATGAAAATTTCTATTCTTTTGATCATTCTGTACCTGTAATGAATGAGGGGCGTTTTACTTCTAATTTCCTGAAATTAGAAGATTAAAGATAGAAACAGACTTGTGTATTTAAATGAGACACAAAATGACTACATTGCATTAGTCCTTTAGCTGTGCACCCTGGAACTGAAAACTTTGTGGTGTTACTTCTTTTTCTCATTATTAATTCAGCAGATCCATTGGTACTGTGCTATCTGCTTCTATTATCGCCAAAATTTTCGAAGTGTGCTTTTGACTGTGATCATGAGATTAAAGAATAGGTCTAGCAAGTTCTCAGGAATGACACGCATCAGCACATTGTGCATAAGACTGAGAAATGAAGCCAAAAAAAAAAGCTAGAACAGAATTTCTGAAACCCTGTATAAATGTTGCAATGTGCAGTAGAAACTATTTTTTGGTTTTTTTGCTATTTTTTCATTTGTTTGTTTTACTTTCTTTGGCCAGATATTTACTATATATCCAATTAGGCCATATTGTGTTATTTCCAAGCTCTTTGTTGCATTGTAGTTAATCACTGAGACATTGTATTTCCCATTTAAAATGAATTTCAAACCAAGGACAACTTTTATAGTCAATGAAATTTATATAAGCTATTATTCCTCATCTAGTAAATACAAAAGGAAATTCAATTGATGTGAAAAAAAGATAAAATGAGTTCTAGATCTATTAAGATGTGGTTAAGGATGGAAACATAGCTGAGGCACATCATATATGTCATTGTGATTTAAACTGATACTCTCAAGTTACTTGCGGCTTTTGGCTCATCACAAGAAAACATAATTATATATTGGACAGAATGATGGTTTATCCTTAGAAATTTTAAGGCTAGGTTTGTTTGTGCATAAAGTTTTATTGTCATTTTGCTGATTTTTTTCCAAAAACAGAAGATGTCCAATGAAATATTTTTAATTCATTTGATATCAAAGGTATATAAAAATAATTTTCACAATCAGAAAAGTATAAAACAGAAGTATTTTTCTCTTCATAAGCAAACATATCATTTCTCTATGATTAATGCATCTTTTAAATGTAGATTATTGTTAGTGTGACTGTTTTTACCTTGGAAAATAGGATAAATGAAAAATGAAACTCTCTTAATAAGGTATAGTCAACTTCTTATTAAAACTGATTATAAAGGGAATTAATAAATGGAAAACTTCAAAGTTGATAACATGGGATTTAAAAGTCTTTGCACTATGAAATGTTTGACCTCACATATAACTGCATCTGACATTTTGGAATTCTCAGTGAAGCAACCCTGGGACATTGGTTTTTGGCCTGGATTTCTACACCTGCCCTAATCTCTATGACTTTTGTAACCAGAACTGTATATGGAAATATACATCAAGAGATTTCTGTACCTGGATAAGTCAGCACAGAGGAATTATTTTTCACTCTTTATAGTTTTTTATTGAAAGAAAAAAATATTAATCTTTTGTCCAAATGAAAATAGAACTCTAACATTTCATGTTGTATGAAGAAATTATATATAAATTTAAATTCAATATATTGAATTATATAGACTGAATTTTGTAATTAAACTCTTAACATTAAAATTTAATAATGCAGTATAGACTATTTTTACCCAAAGACAAACCAGAATTAAACTATATTTTATTGTAAATCAAAAGTGTAATATATATTTATAGTTAGAATAAACTACGTAAGAGACAATCTCACTCCAGATCTTGTTTTATTTCTGCATATAGTCAAAAACACAGAAACTTTCAGCAATATCTGCCTCCATTAACCTAGTACTTAAAAAAAACAGTTGTGTAGTTAGGAATTATTACAGAAAACATACTTATGTAGGTCCTAAGCTGCCATAACAAAGTACCACAAACGAGGTCTTAACAAAAAATTATTGTCTAACAGTCCTGGACACTGGATGTTGGAAATCAAGGTATGGGCAGGACCATGTTTTCCCTGATGGCTCTAGGAAAGAATCTTTTGCTTCTTCCTAGCTTCTGATGGCTTCTGTGATCCTTGGTGTTCTCTGGCTTATAGCTGTGTCACTCCAATCTCTGCCTCTTTCAGGAGCCTTCTTACCTGTATGTGTGTCTCTGCATGTCCACTTATTTTACTTTTTTTGCAACTTCAAATTTGTTTCCCTTTTTTTTATTACCAAGTTTTAATTTTAGAAGTACATGTGCAGGATGTGGAGGTTTGTAACATAGTTAAACATGTGCCATGGTGATTAGCTGCATAGATCATCCCATCACCTAGATGTTAAGCCCAGCATCCATTAACTATTCTTCCTGATGCTCTCCCTCCTCCCACTCCCCACCCTCTGGGACAGGCCCCAATGTTGTTCTCCACCATGTGTTGATGTGTTCTCATCATTCAGATCCCACTTATGAGTGAGAACATGCTGTATTTGATTTTCTGTACCCGCATTAGTTTGCTGAGGATAATGGCTTCCAGCTCCATGCATGTCACTGCAAAGGACATAATCTCATTCCTTTTTATGGCTGCATAGTATTCCATGGTATACATGTACCACATTTTCTTTATCCAGACTATCACTGATAAGCATTTAGGTTGATTTCATGTCTTTGCTATTGTGAATAGTGCTGCAGTGAACCTACGTGTGTAGGTATCTTTATAACAGAATGATTTATATTTCTTTGGGTATATACTCAGTATGGGATTGCTGGGTCAAATGGTATTTCTGCCTCTAGATCTTTGAGGAATCCCCACACTGTCTTCCACAGTGCTTGAACTAATTTACACTCCCACCAACAGTGTAAAATGGTTCCTTTTTCTTCACAACCTCTCCAGCATCTGCTGGTTTTTGACTCTTCAGTAATAGCCATTCTGCTTTTGTGTGAGATGATATCTCATCGTGGTTTTGATTTGCATTTCTATAATGATCAATGATGTTGAGATTTTTTTTCATATGTTTGTTGGCCGCATGTGAGCAAAGAATATCCAACCGATTTCTTATGAATAAATGAGTCATTGGGTTTAGGGCTCACCCTAATCCACAATGAACTTACATTAACTCAATTAGACATGCCAAGATCTTATGTCTAAAAAAGGTCACATTCATAGGTGCTGAGGGGTAGAACAGGGACAGATCTTTTTGGGGCACAGAACTCAATCCACTATATCACCCTATTCAGAGACTCATGAGTGACATTTTGAGTAACTTGTGGATCTGTTGCTCCAATGGATCTCCTTCAATGAAGTGGCAAATTCTAGGCTCCAGGGCACTTTCTCTCTCTGCTTTGTCTACCTCTTCCTGTTGCCAGATTATAGGTGATCGGGACACCATTAAGTCTTCCATCACTCATTCTCCATAACAGACCTCCCCTTGCCTGCTTACATCTGCTGCCTATTAATTTCCCGCAGCTCCAGACTGCCTGAATCTGTAACTTAAAAGCCAGGCCAGTTCTGTGAGAGGTAGTTAGTGACCCCTGGCTTTCTCTTTTTCATTTTCACACTCTCACAAGATTGACAGACAGTTAGATAGGACTATCATTCTTCTACATATACACACCAGGAGACACACCTTTCTGATGGAGACATTGAGGAATTACTGTTTGTAGAGATAAAATACATGCAACAATTTGAAAAAAAACACTCACAATAAAGAGAAAATAGAGAAAAATCAACATTTTCATAGAGAAAAAAATCAACATTCGAAATGTAAAGTTTTGCAATATTTTCTGTGCAACATTTTCTGATATTCTTGGTGTATAATATTAATCATTAAAGCAGTACAGTACTCATAAATGTCCTTAAGGAAAGGGATCTCTGAATATATGTATACCCAATACTTGCTAATTTGAGATAATTAACAAAATATTTTCACAAATACCCAAATATATAAATGTGCCCTGTAAATCAAAGCAAAGAATTTTTAATAAAACCTGCAAATGTCTTTTTGCATTTCTATAATTGCCTATAACTGGCTTGTAAAAGTTGTACGACCTTACTTCATTCAGCTCCTCTGAAAACTTGTTTCATTCTAGTGTCTAATGATTACATACTCATTTTCTTTTAGAAATATATGTCTGCGCTCACACACGTACACACAAATGGTAAGATTGCTTTCAATAATTTGGCTTTTATATTTCAGCCTATTTCTTAACTAAAATTATATTCACAGGCCTAGATATAACTTTTAATAATTAAACTGATTATACCTTACTCCAAAAGCAAATGCTATTACATATAATAAAGACATTTTCTTCAATCAAAACAATGAATATGTTAGCTAAAAAATGTAGAAAATAGGATTCATTGTGTTTTTATTTCTTTCTATTTTCAATTTGTTGTTTTACTCTTTATTAGTTTTCCTAAAGCAGGGGGTGCTTGAGCCTTCGTTTCATACAAAGACCACTCAGTACTGAAATAATAATATTTTAAAATCTGTATTAAGCTTATTCTTTTTGGTCAGTGATCTCTTTTTGAATCCTTTTCCAAATGCAGTCACAAAGAGTATAATTAGATGAGCAACTATAAACCTTTAAGCAAACATCACTTTTTGATGAGCTGGAGAAAAATTACCATGTGCTGATAACTCTTTGGAGAATGAAGAATTAATGAATTGACTTTGTTTTACATTCTCTTTAAAGTTTCCTAAATACTATCTTGTGTTATATTATTTGTAAAGCACCTTTATTTTTACAATACATGATAAATAATTGTTAAAGAAAAGATGCACTTATATGTGAAAACCTAAGTTTGCAGTTTTTTTAAGAAGGTTTTGAAAAAAAAAAGCACAATGGAAAAAGTTTACCATGCTCCTTCTTGAAAAAGATAAGGATTTGTTAAAACCTCAATAAAAATAAAATCTACCTGATCCTTTGCTCAACTTGTTATACAATGTTAGCAGTACTGTTATATAGTCCACAACTACCATATAAATAGTAGCTCTTTTAAAAAATAATAATAGTGAAGTAAACTTCTAGTGAATCAATTTACCAAAAAAGAAATGCTTTTGTGCTGAATAATAAATCATAGCCATTCATGATCTCCTGATTAACCATTTGTGTATGGCTCTAATGACATAGACAAATGACTTGAAGTTACGGTCTGTAGATTTTGTATCCCAAAGCTACAACAATGTTGAGTATCCTTGAAACAGATTGAATACGGATAACAATGCAAAGCAAAACAAATAAGGCTGAATCCTATGTGCCATTATTATAAAACCATCAATCAGTGGTCAGATGCAGTGTGTTCTCTTAGTTAACAAGAAGTTTTCTGTTTTTGCGATATGCATTCTCTCAAAAAAGGTCTTCACCTGGGGAGGACTAGGAGCGTATCTATTTTAATAAAGAGAGCATCCAGATTTGATATCAAAACTACTGACAGATCTCTTTGCTTGAAATGCTCGACATGGGTTGGCTATTCAATTATGAACGCTGTTAAGAGGAAGTACTCCAAGTGGAATTCCCTGCCGTTTGGTTGAAACAGCAGAAGTTCTGATAAAACATTAATAATATGCCCTTGGCTATCTCAACTACTTTGCCCCTAGATGCTGGCAGCCTGGGCAGTGCGTGCATGTTCACTTTGATTATTGCATTTGGCTTTACTTCCTGTTTCTCACATTTTGAACATTTCCGATGAGCATTCTGTTTTATTGGTGAGAAAGGATACAGCAGGAAATATGGCTGAATGGCGTCCAATGGGAAAGCATGAGAAAATTTCATTAAAAAAGAGAGAACAAGAGGAAAGGAAAGAGCCTGAGTATGCTATGCCTACTTTTAAAATAAAGAGAGCTCATTTTGCCTCCTATGGAAACACAAGGCTGGACAAAGCATGGAGGAGAAAGTCTGAAAACAGAGGAGTCACCTTACCTAATAATTTTTAATAGAGGTGTTCTAATTATTACAGCTTTACCCAGATCAGACAAGATGCGGAGATGATAACCACAGTGGAAACGTGGTTGGTAAGCACGTCAAAGCGTGGGCTGGTGTGGGAGGCTGCCCTATGTCGCCTCTGCCCGTGAGCAGTGGTGACTTCGCTTAGATGCCTGATGCCTCAGGCTTCCAGTCCTGGTTCCTTGTGTAAAAGCCCCCAGTGGATATGTCATACTGAATTCCTAGGGAACGAAAGTCTCACATTACACACATTCAGCTGGTAACAAAGAAGAAAAATATATGTGTTTTTGAGGAGGAAGAAATATGCGCTAGAAATTTGCTAATTTTCACATTGGCAAACTGCAAAGACAGACTTCAAAATGAAAATGAGTCCTGTGGATTTTTAAATATAAGTGCAAATTAGCCAAGTGCTACTAGTTCTGTCATGTATGAGGATAAAACAGGGCATTCAGCTCTCCACTGCATAAGGGATAAGAAATAATGTATGTAATATATGGTTTATGCTGACGTTAACGTATAAACTTGTTTCTCTTTAACTTTTTCCTTTGTAATAAGCAGGTACTTAATTTTGGAGCTGGTTGTGTTCATTATTTTATTTTATTTTGTTTTATTTTATTTTATTTTATTTTATTTTATTTTATTTTATTTTATTTTATTTTATTTTGAGACAGTGTTTCACTCTGTCGCCCAAGGCTGGAGTGCAGTGGCACAATCTCAGATCACTGCAACCTCTGTCTCCCAGGTTAAAGTGATTCTCCTGCCTCAGCTTCCTGAGTATCTGGGATTACAGACATACACCACCACACCATGCTATTTTTTGTTTTTGTTTGTTTGTTTGTTTTTGTTTTTTTTTTTTAGTAGAGACAAAGTTTCGCCATGTTGGCCAGGCTGGTCTTGAACTCCTGACCTCAAGAGATCCGCCCACCTGGGCCTCCCAGAGTGCTGGGATTACAGGTGTGAGCCACCGTGCCTGGCCTATTATTTTTAATATAACTTTTATAATAAAATTTTTTGAGAATAGGTGAAGTTTTCTAACCTTTCAATATAAGCTTGCTTTTGCAAAGGAGATACTTTTTTGAGAGTTGAAATTGCTTTTCTTTTATGCCAAAGCATAGGAGATTGTTGATAGTTTTGCCAGTTAAGGGAAGCATTTAATACTTCTGTTAAAATATATTTTAGAAATGAGATAGATATGAAATAAATGCTCTTGACAACTATCTATTTGATAGTAGATAGAAGTAAAAATATAAAGGGAGAATTATTGCTTTTGTAAGAATTATTGCCCCTATAAAGAAAGCTGGGAAAATGCCTCTTTCAATCACAGGGATTTTAAAAATTCATTTATTCAATTATTTGATAAATGTTTGTTGAGTGCCTACTCTGTGCAAATAGTACTAAATGCTGAAGATGTAGAAATGAACTAATAAGATCCATTACATTCTGTTTGAAGACACAGATGTTAAATGCCTAACTGCAAATTCAGTGATTTTAATTGCTGTGCATGTTGTGAAAGAGAAGCACGGGGTAGAGAATGTACAGGGGTCTGAGAAGGCTTCCTTGATACCTTTTGAACAGAGCACTGAAAGGTATGCAGAAATTATCTGAGCAAGTTTGGGAAGAAGGAGAGCAGAGCTTTCCAGGCAAGGGGACCTGCATGTGCAGGGCCCTCAGGCTAGGAGGAGCTGACACTTTTTAAAAAACGAAAGAAGAGATGTGGAGCAAAAAGCATCACACAGACTGGGAATGGCCCACACAGGATGGTGCAGGGCTTTAGTGCCATGTCAAAGATTTGTTTTTTCCTCTTTTTTTTTTTTGCTGCAAAAAAAGAGAAGCCACTGACGTATTTTAAACATAGCATAAGCAACTGGAAGATCTTAGTATCATGTCGTACAATTTTATAGCTAAAATAACTGAGGCCTATAAAAGGAGAAATGTTATTCCCAAATCCCCAGTGGAATTTAGTATGGAAGGTGGAAATATTTTCTCTAAACTCCTCAGAAACATTTTAGTGGAGGGTGATATTTACAGGTTAAGAGGCCCTGGCATTCTTTCCTGCACAAGTTAAGTTAAACTGGGAGAAGGGATGGAAACATACCATACTACATTTATAGAACAGCCGTTGTAATAATTGATGGGGAATTAATAATAACTGATAATATAATAAAATGATAAGATCAAATAATTCTCTGTATTAAGTTAATACTTTATATATATTAGTTTTTGAAATCCACCTGTAAAGGGATATATATTTTCCCTGCCTCCTATTTCCCATCATGTTCACTCCACACATTTTCAAACATAAATTATCTCATTTATGAGTGATATAAAAACCATAGTTGAGTCACCTAATTTTACCGTTTAAGAAATACTGGAATCTGGACTAAGAAGTAGATTGTGTCCTTGGGTGAGGGTACTGGCTCTGAATCCTGACTCTCTTGTTTTAAAATATGCTCTATATATCCTGTATTTTGGACTTTGGCAAAGTTAGTTAACCTCTCTATTCTTCATTAGCTATATATACATACATTAGACACGCACATACATACAGATATTCATATATATGTATATATTCTCTGATGTTATCATCAAAGGATATATATCTGTATTTCTTATATATTTATGTATAAATGTATTTGTACATTTATAAATTTATTTTCATATTTATATTTATAAATAAGATATATATCTATATGCATGTTTTAATTTACTTCATTAATTATTTTAATCCTTGAAAGTACACTTTCTCTTTATAAATACAGGTATACATACATACACACACATATGTACACATACACATATATACACAAACATCTAGATTTTTGTTTTATCATATATATGTATATATGTACATATGTGTGTGCATATATGTATACCTGTATTTATAAAGAGAAAGTGTACTTTCAAGGATTAAAATAATTAATGAAGTAAATTAATTAAACTTGGCTGTTAAAGATACTGGAGAATGGAAAGACGTAAACAGGTACATGGATATATGTGCATGTGTATATATGTGTGTATATGTATGTATAACTGTATAAAGAGAGAGAAAGCATACTTTGAAAAATTAAAATAATTAATGAAGTAAATTAATAAAATAATAAAATTACTTAGTATATTTCCTGGCATATAGTAAGTACATGATAAATATTAACTGGTATATGTCATACTTTTAGACAAGACCAACTTTGAAGATAGAGATTAACATATACAGAGATAGAGATTACCATCCATCTAACATGTAGATATAAATTTACATCAATAATCAACCTGGCCCCACAAACCCTTGATCTTGAAACTCAAACTCTCCATCTTGAAACTTCCATCTTACTTGGCCATTGAGGAATAGAGTGAGTTCCTTCACTGTAGATGTGGTAAGAAACTCTTTCTTTAGCCAAGATAATTGAAATTTATCATAACTAATTTAGGTTATGAGATGAATAGAAAATGTACAGACTGTATTCTTACAACATACATATAAACACCCAGACATGAAGAGTTTTTCAAAATAAAAATGGCTGATCCTTATTTTAGCTACCGCATAACAAAATATTGGCTTGAGCAATAATAACTGATGTGACACCCAACACAAGTGGATCTTTCTCTGCCCTTTAAAGTTGGCTATTAAAGATACTGGAGAATGGAAAGACGTAGACAGACAGACAGACCAACAGACAGAGATGGAAATTCTCACACTTCTTATCAAAGCAAATTTTGATCAATACCATTGTCAAACCAGTTGAAAGAATTAGACAATCACAAAATCTGCTTCCCAGGTCTCTTCATCTACTTGGGTCATTACGGTCATCTTCATCATCTTTTATGATGCACTCTGATCTGCAAGGCAGATGCCCTGACCGTCCGACCCATGGCTCACTTACGCACACAGGTTCTCAGATTGATAGAGAAGAAAAGCATTTGCTAGAATGACACACAAGATTTTTGCTCTCATCTTCACCTTTATAAACTTTATAAAGTCACCTTTATGACTCGGCTTCTGAAATTAACTTGTATAATTTAGTAGGAAAATAGGTTGCTTTTACGTTGCCTTTACAAGTGAAACAGTCAAGACCATTGGCCATGAAACAGTACTTCTTCAGCCATAATTTCCTAGTCTTTCCTCAAAAACACACTTACTTGTATTTACAGTCTCCAAGTGTCTGCTTCTACAATGTTCCACAGCTGAAATTTGCACCTTGCCTTGCCCCTGTCTCTCTCATACAATTCTTTCCATATTTTAGTAAAAGGTTACCTTCCAGTAAAACTTTACCTCCACCAAATTCCAAATAATATCACCATACTCTGAGTTATTGAAGACATGTCTCTCTGCATTTCTTATTTATTTAGATTATACTATTAAATTAACATTTCATAGGTAGGTTTTGTTTCTTCACTAAGTCAAACCTAATTTCCTAATTAGCCAGGATTGTTACTTAGACTTCTTTGTATTCATAGGCATATTCAGCAGAGACTTATTTTACTTTGAAGATTATAGATTTCAAGATTACAGTTTGATTATAAATATCTAATTAATTGATCATCGGGGTATCTTCTGTTTCATCCTCTCACCTGAAAAATTGTAGAAAATGAAGCTTATTCCAAAAGTTGGTGAATCCACAGGGTTGCTTACTTTTGTTTTATCATTCAGTACCTGTATATAACTTCAACATGGAAGAGAAAGAAGGAAAAAAAGTTCTTATATTTACATATTCAGCTTATAAGAATAGGAAACTACTCTCACAAACCCCCAAAAGAGAGTTTTTCACATTTTTCATATTTAAAGTGCATGAAGTCAGTAAATTCACAAGTAAACACAGAGCTTGTTCTTTTGAGAGCAGCATCTCGGGGTTTAGTCTACCAAATCACACTACATATGCAAATGTTGTTTGAACGCAATTTAGCTGCATGCTAAGCAGTACAGAAATCTCAAGGGTCAAAGATTTGAAAATGTTTTCAGCACGAAAATCGTAGAGGCAAATGTTTGATGTACAGATGTGTGTACTAAAATAGGTTACGGTTAGATAGTTTCATCTATTTTAGTCAATCCCTTATTTGGAAGTGCTTACTGGGATTTTTTTAGAGTGTATGATTTTGGTTTCAGTTCTATGATGAATTCAAAATGGTGTTTCATAGTCAATATTAGCCCAAAATATAATGTATGTTTACTATGTGGATGGTAGGAGTTTTATAGAATTCTCTAGAAACACTAGAACAAATTCAATTTGAGTGTGCTCTCTCATGGCCCCCTCTCTTTCTCTATCTTTGATTATGTGTGTTTCTGCACTCTGTGGGGCCTGTCATAATATAAGCTTTTCTGGAGTTACATATCTTTATTTCTCTAGTTGAGGAACATAGTTGTGCACTGAGGAACTCCATCACAAATGTTTCTGGATTATCATTAGTCTAAACTCTGACTTGTAATATGTTCTTTCACTAAAGGATTTCCCATGTGTAAAATGTAACCAAATATATAGCTTAATGATATACCATCATCGTTTGACACAGGTTTTAAAACTTTCTACTAAATACTAAAAAACCCCAAAACCTAAATAGAATAGAAGAGCTATCTTCAATAAATTTATTCTAAAAGAAAAATACTCAAAAAGCCAGTAATACTAAAAGTTTCTAATTATTTTTAGTGTTGAGATAATTTATTATTTATTCATGCACCAACCATTTATTGAGTCCTACACATTATGGTGGGAACAGGGAACCAATAATGAACAAGATGGATATGATCCCTGCCCTGGAGAGTACAATCTAGAAACATATACAGAGCTTTCAAAGATGAAAACAAAGGAGATAATGAGAGATTATTCACTGACTAAGTGAACATCATGCCAAAGTTTTAACTTCATAAAGTGTTCTATATGAAAGAATTACATATTATAGAAGTTTCCTTCTTTAATTTTATATTATAAGCCTGTTTTCTAAGGCACCTTCTCAGCAAGTGTTCTCCTAGAAGTTCAACTTGATAGCATTTTGATCAAACTTACAAAGCTCCCCCATGATCCCAAAGTCAGCAAATATCATAAACAGTATTCCCTAGACTCTTCACCAGTCGAGCACTGGACTCTTCAAAAATATTATATTTGCGTGAAGAGTTTAGACATGCCATGAAATGTATCATAAAAATACCATAAAATGTTCTTAATTCAAAAACTTTTTAAAACTACGAAAATACCATTTTAAGTGACCAAACTGAATCATCAAATGGTCGAATTTTTCTGAACAAACCAACTATATAAAATACCTATGTGAGTTGTGATAGAATTTTGAATTAGCCTCATTGATTTGAATTTTGAAGACAAAGTCAAGATTATTTTCAAAAAGTGTACATGAATATTCATTTTTATCTGCAGAATGAATGTGTTCTTTCTGAAGTTTTTGCATTTGGCATAGACTATATTTTTATTCATTATATATACCCTGCATTTGTAGACTAAGAAAATAGATGATTAAAATAAATATCTACAGATATTCTGACAAATCTGGATTTTGACAAGTCATACACTCTTAAAATTAGAAATTATGTAATTTTTTCTTTATGAGGATTTTAGTTGTCATTTATATAGAAAATTATTAACTGGAATTATTGCACTTATAACAGTTGCTCATACAGGCTGTAAGAAAATGTAGAGATTAGAGGAAAGTACAGCCAAAGGCAATTTATATATACTTTCCAATTTTTATTTTTTTCTATATATTTAAAATGTAATTAATTTTTCTAAGACTGCATGCTGGTTTATAGTTGATTCTTTTTTATTGTTTCCTGTGATTGTTTTGTTAACAAAGGTGTATTGGTTTACATGCACCAAAATTCACCCTTTTTAGTTGTATAGCCCAAGGAATTGTCACAAATACAGTCATTTAACTATCACCACTATCAAGCCACGGAATATTTCAGTAGCCCCCAACAAGTCCCCTACTGCTCCTTTGTAGTCAGTCTCTAACCTTTGACAACACAGATGTGTTCTCTGCCTCTATAGTGGTGCCTTTTTCACAATTATATGTCATTAATAAATTTTGAGTTTTGGCATAAGATACATTATCATTAATACTTACAAAATGTTGTTTCAAAGAGAAAAGCATATTCTTATAAAAATTTACTTTATTAATTTTTGCACAGTATTGCTGTATTTAGGAGCTTAGGAGAAGAACAGGTAACAACTTTTCTTTAAATGTGTTTATTTTGTGGATGTTTTCTTCAGTTGGCTATAAAAATATGTTTATCTTTCATCTCACCTGGCAAATGTAGATTTTTTTCATGTATTTTTATTTTCTCCTTGTTTGTTTTACAAACATGACCATTATGCAATTTAGGATTTGATAGCATACTCTCCTTATATTGTTAATCTAATCAGTACACACACTTGTTAATGTCTTAATACTGAGCCACTGAAATCTGAACAGAAACTGTCTCCTGATAAGAGGCTCATAATGGACCAAAATCCAACATCCTAAGTACTTAATGGCTTGTATTTTATAAATTATGTGGGGCAAGGAGATTAAGTGATTTTTTTATACATAAATCAGAATAGTTTTAGAGAAACAGACATTCTCCATTGATCTTTACCAAGCATTGAGCACCATTGTTCCCAATCTTTTGGTGTTTGAGTTACTTTTTTCACATACTCAAACTATTTTTAACAGACTTAAATGAATTAAGAGACTCAAATAAGAGTTTATAAATGTTACAGTACCACAATATATACCATATACAAAACCTCTGACAGTTGTTACACTTTTGGCTTGTTAGCTTTTCAGTGCTCCATGATGGCTTGAGAAGAAGGTTTACTTTTATCCTCAAGAGGTTAAGCCATTGCATATTTCAGTAGCCTGGTGATCTTTCTTTAGAGTTACTGATCTTCCTTTTTTTCTCTCCTCCCCACGATGCTCCAACGTCAGACAAACAGTATAACAACACACTCACCACTAGCATATACCCCTTTTGCATTGTTTATGTTTATGATTTTCCCATTGTGGCTGCATTGCTGCTCCCGTGAAATCATCCGAACTGCCATGGCCAGGATTTAGTCTTAGGTCTTCACATACATTTTAGTTACTTAATGTTCTTGAAAACCTACAAACAAACTGGTTAAACAAGCAAAGAAATAACAGACGTAAAAGGAGAACGTTTGCTTTTAGTTAATGTTTTCAAGATTTATTTATTCATTTAAATCAATTATTAATTGAGTGCGTACTAAGCACAGGAATATAACAGGGATATAAGACCCCGCATTGAAGTTGCATTCCAGTGTGGGAAACATAACAGAATGAATAAAATGAAAATTCAAGACAGGAAAGGGATAAGCAAGATAAAGACGATGATTAATATTTGAAGAAAATAAAACATCAGTAAGGATAATTGGAAAAGACGCTTTCTCTAAGAAGGCAGCATTTTTACTGAAAGACCAGACTTGAAAAGATACAACCAAAATGATAAGAAGTATCAAATCCCAAAGGCAGAGAAGTCTTAATGTGATCAAGGAGCAGAAAGGGTAGTGTAGACAGTGGCTTGGCTGCAAAGAAAAAGGTGGAATATCTTCATTTGGAAAGACAGGAGAAGGTCACATTCTTCAGGACCATTATAGCTCCTAATAAAGAGCTGGGATTTTACTTTACATGCAATGAGAATTAAGTGAAGGAACTGAAAGTGGAATAGCGTGAAATTATTTGAATCACATTTTTATATTATCACTTTATGTGCTGCCTAGGGGATGGATGAGGAAGACCCAGAGGAAAATTCCAGAGGTGATGGGTTCTGGAAGTAAAAATTGATAGGGAAGATGAAGAAATGCATACATATTCAAGATCTCGCTAAAGGGTAAGCTTTGGGTGAGAAACAAATGAGAAAGCAAAGCCATAGATGGTTCTATCATTAATGGTGATATAGAAAACCTTAGAATCCAGTACATAGAAGGTGGAGTTCAAGAGCTCCATTTGAGCCTGTTAGGTTTGAAGGGAGTTCAAGAGCTCCATTTGAGCCTGTTGGGTTTGAAAGAATTATTGGATATTTAAATGAAGAAGTCAGGTAAGCACGCTATTTTGGTCTAGTGCTGTGAGAGTGATATGACAGTATGTGTCATTAAGCGGTATTTCAATGTGGAAAACATAACAGACAAGAGAACAGACCTCAGGACTGAATGAACTCTGAGGCTCTCCAGCAAAGGCCCAGGAGGAGAAAAAGCAAAAACAGGAGCTGGGGTGGAAGGAAAATTTGAAGAGCGCAGACAGTCTCTCAAAAATTGCTTTAGTGTTTCAGGCAAGACGAAGTAGTCAAATATGTTGAGAAATTGGAAAAATGTTAAAAATGCCCATTGGAATTGGCAAGATGAAGTCCCAGGTATCACTGACAGTGATGGTGAAGATGAGGAAGGAGAAGCCGTCAGTGTGTTGTTGAAGAATGAATCGAGGAAGGGGGTGTTTGTGTGGGTATGTATGTGTACTGGAGCAACAAACCTAGACAATTTTTTATTGAGAAATTTTAATACTGGATGCATCTGAGCACACTTTTAGGTGTGCTTGAAACCATTCAGGAGGGAGGGGAAGCTTAGTGATGCAGGGAAGAGGAGTAAATGAAGGAGGAAGCTTCTCAAAAAAGCTAGAAGGAACTTCAGAGTGTATGAAAAATTTGATTTTTTTTTTTTTTTTTTTTGAGATGGAGCCTCCCTTTGTCACCCAGGCTGGAGTGCAGTGGCACGATCTCGACTCACTGTAGCCTCTGCCTCCCAGGTTCAAGTGATTCTCCTGCCATAGCCTCACGAGTAGCTGGGATTACAGGCACGTGCGGGCTAATTTTTTGTATTTTTAGTAGAGACGGGGTTTTGCCATGTTGGCCAGGCTGATCTCAAACTCCTGACCTTAAGTGATCCACCTGCCTAGGCCTCTCAAAGTGCTGAGATTACAGACGTGAGCCACTGCACCTGGCCGAAAAATTTGATTTTTAAAGCAGTAAGATGAAATTAACAAAATCAGCAAAATAATTTTGCTTTTAAAGTATGCTTCTTATATTAATAGTTTTGCTCTAGTATAGAGGAAAGAAAGCACAAAGATGTAGAAATAAACTACTATGTGGATTTGAATTTGAACTCGACCCTATATGTTCTGTGTGAGTGAGGCCCTTCACTTACCTGCTTTATAGATGAGTGATAATGCTTGTAAATTAAGTAGCATGTAATAGAGACTAAACAAGTTAAAGGGGTTCTCCAGTTAGCACTGAATTTGTAGTTGTCCTAACAGTAGTATTTCCTGAGTTTCACACTCCTGAGCACACATTTTCTTGATGTAGTGTTTTAAGAAATATTAATAGAATCTTCCAAAAAATCCTACTAAATTTCATAGAATGATTTATGTAACACGTTCTAGTTTCTTTGCTAGAAGGAAATATTTCTATTGCTTTATTAACAGGTGAAATCTTAAGTTGGTATAATTTGCCATATTTGTGAAGTGACAGTTTATAAGATACTGCAAGGTACCATATTTTGTGTGCCTAAAAATGCTTAACTATATCAATTGACAACTATGAAAACTGAGCAAAAGCCATAGCATTTTGATTAAGCAGTTTTTTGGTAAAAACACTGTTCTGTGATGCAAGAATATAGATCAACCAAACGTGGTTCTATTTAGAGTTTGCTTAGCATATCACACAACTCTCTGTATCTAAATAATTTTCAGCATTCTTTTAGATGATTTTGGGGATTCTTAACATCACTCACCTTTGAATCCTCACAATTTAAATCTGACAAAATGAAGAGAACTATTTTTTAAAATTATGTTTTATGTTCATTGACAATTAAGTAGAAGGTGCATATGACACAGTTCTTAAAAATGTAACATTATAATATTCTAACATTCCAGTCAACACGCAATTATCCCTATCTAATTGCGTTTGTGCAATCTTTTATATGTGTTGCTAATTATATTTACATATATTAATATCTTAGCTGATCTGTTTGCATCCCTATGGTTTTTGCTATTTTGTCCAAAGAAACAAACAATTCACTTCCTTGTTTCAATTAAATATTACTTGAATGAAGTTAAGGACTTCCCAGCTTTTTCAAGTATATTTTCATGGTGTGGTCTCTTGTTAGAAACTATGAATTTATCTCTTTCCATTTAAAAAGCGGAAGCACAGGCTCAAGGCAGCCTTTTTGGCCAGTGGCTGTCCCAGGACTGAGTCCTGAGTCCTGATTCATGGATTCCTGGTGAAACTGCAGTTTCTCTAACATCCCTGATTTTTTTTTTTTTTTTTTTTTTTGAGACGGAGTTCCACTCTTGTTGCCCAGGCTGGAGTGCAATGGCACTATCTTGGCTCACGGCAACCTCTGCCTCTCGGGTTCAAGAGATTCTCCTGCCTCATCCTCCTGATTAGCTGGGATTACAGCCATGCACTACCACGCCCAGCTAATTTTGTATTTTTTAGTAGAGACGGGGTTTCTCCATGTTGGTCAGCCTGGTCTCGAACTCCTAACCTCAGGTGATCCACCCGCCTTGGCCTCCCAAAGTGCTGGGATTACAGGTGTGAGCCACCACGCCTGGCCTAACATCACTGACTTTTCAATCCTCACAATTTAAATCTGACAAAATGAAGAGAACTATTTTTTAAAATTGTGTTTTATGTTCATTGACAATTAAGTAGAAGTCATTTTTTTTAGTTATGTATCTATGATTATCACCAATCTTCATGTACAAAACAGTTTCTATCTCTGGACCTCATTATATAATAAGAGGAAGGATAGCATTGTTCTAAATATAGGTATAAAGAACACTTACGACTTGTGATTGATTAGGCTATCATGAAAATAAAGTATTTTACTACTGTGTGATCTTATGAAGGCTGAATTAAAAAGAATTCATTAGTAATGTATTTCTTCATGATTATATGGCAAATATTTTCTGTGGTGAGTGTGCGCCCAAAATAAATGACAAAAAAAGAAGGATAAATAACCATGGAAAATAGCAAATCTCTGTTAATACAGACTCTGAAGAAAAGGATATGCTAAATCATAGCCTGACATATCTAACTTGTGTTCTCTGTTATTTAAGTAAACAATTGCCTCTAGCAGATGCATATAAAGATAAAATTACAGCTTATAAATACTCATTTCTCTTTTACAAAATGAATGGAGAGGCATATCAAGATCAGTGATGAATAAATAGACAAATTTAGAGGCTACTTATTTGAATTAATCTGTAAGTCACTAAATTCATTTTTATATGATACATAATTTTATAGGGTACCTAGTCTGAAAATTCACTTGCTCATATATTTTTCATTAAAATAGCTAAGTCATAAAATAGGTGCAGAGAGAAAAAATATATCTGTTTGTCATACATACCTGCCAGAAAAAAAGAAACTATATGAAATTAAAATAATCAGTCCAAATATAAAAAAGCTAACAAGCAACACTAGAGAAAACTTTAACCCATTACAAACTGTTTAATTTGAGGAAGGTATTTATTTAAATAACTTTTTTTGAAGACAAAAGTGTCCTTCTGCATTCAACTTTGTTGATCATGAAAGTCCATCACAGGAAGGGCAGGGGCAGAAAAAATTTGATCAAAATCTTTTACATAATAAGGTATATATTTTCACTTATTAAGAAAATAGATTTTTAATACTTTAGAAACATTATAGATTTATATACGTAGAAAATATTACAAATGTGTTTTTTCAACTCTTATTTTAAATTAAGGAGTACATGTGCAGAATGTGGAGGTTTGTTACATAGGTAAGCAAGTGCCATGGTAGTTTGCTGCATAGATCATCCCATCACCTAGGTATTAAGCCTAGCATCCATTGGTTATTCTTCCTGATGCTCTCCCTCTGCTCCTGACCCCCAGCAGGCTCCAGTGTGTGTTGTTCCCTGCCATGTGTCCATGTGTTCTCATCAATCAGCTCCCATTTATGAGTGAGAATATGTGGTGTTTGGCTTTCTGTTCCTGCGTTAGTTTTCTGAAGATAACGACTTCCAACTCCTTTTATGTCCCTGCAAAGGACAAGGTCTCGTTCCTTTTTATGGCTGCATAGTACTCCATGGTGTATAGGTATCACATTTTCTTTATCCACTCTATCATTAATGGGCACTTAGGTTTATTCCCTGTCTTTGCTATTATGAATAGGGTTGTAATTATTTATATTCTTTTAGGTATATACCCAGTAATGGGATTGCTGGGTCAAATGGTGTTTCTGGTTCTAGGTCTTTGAGGAATTGCTATGCTGTCTTCCACAATGACTGAACTAATTTACATTCCCACCAACAGTGTGAAAGCATTTCTATTTCTCCCAGCCTTACCAGCATCTGTTGTTTCTTGACTTTTTAATAATCACTATTCTGACTGGCATGAGATGGTAGCTCATTGTGGTTTGATTTGCATTTGTCTAATGATCAGTGATGTTGAGCTTTTTTTCATATATTTGTTGGCCACATGTATGTCTTCTTTTGAGAAGTGTCTGTTTTTGTCCTTTGCCCACTTTTTAATGGGGTTGTTTGTTTTTTTCTTGTAAATTTGCTTAAGTTCCTTACAGACTCTGGATATTAGACCTTTGTCAGATGAGTAGGTTGCAAACATTTTCTCCCATTCTGTAGGTTGTGTGTTCACTCTGATGATAGTTCCTTTTGCTGTGCAGAAGCTCTTTAGGTTAATTAGATCCCATTTGTCAATTTTGGCTTTTGCGGCAATTGCTTTTGGCATTTTATTCATGAAATCTTTGCCCATGCCTATGTTTTGAATGGTATTTCTAGATTTTCTTCTAGTGTATTTATAGTTTTGGGTTTTATATTTAAGTCTTTAATCTATCTTGAGTTAATTTTTGTATATGGTGTAAGGAAGGGATCCAATTTCAATTTTCTGTGTATGGCCAGCCAGTTATCCCAGCACCACTTGTTAAAAAGGAATCCTAATCCTTTCCCTATTGCTAATGTCAGGTTTGTCAAAGATCACATGGTTGTAGGTGTGCAGTCTTATTTCTGAGTTCTCTATTATTTTCCATTGGTCTATATGTCTGTTCTTGTGCTAGTAACATGCTGTTGGTTACTGTAGTCTTGCAGTATAGTTTGAAGTCGGTTAGCATGATGCTTCCAGTTTTGTTCTTTTTTTTAGGATTCTCTTGACTATTCAGGCTCTATTTTGGTTCCATATAATTTTAGGGTAGTTTTTTTCTAATTCTGTGAAGAATGTCAATGGTAGTTTAATGAGAATAGCATTGAATCTGTACATTACTTTGGGCAGCATGGCCATTTTCACAATATTGATTCTTCCTATCCATGAGCATGGACTGGTTTGTCCATTTGTTGTTTCCTCACTGATTTCTTTGAGCAGTGGTCTGTCACTTCTCTTGTTAGCTATAGTCCTAGGTATTTTATTCTTTTTGTAGCAATTGTGAATGGGATTTCATTCATGATTTGGCTCTCTGTTTGCCTATTGTTGGTGTATAAGAATGCTAGCAATTTTGCACGATGATTTTGTATCCTGAGACTTTGCTGAAGTTGCTTATCATCTCAAGAAGCTTTTGGGCTGAGACAATGGGGTTTTCTAGATATAGGATCATATCATCTGCAAACAAAGATAATTTGACTTCCTCTCTTCCTACTTGAATACCCTTTATTTCTTTCTCTTTCCTGATTGCCCTGGCTAGAATGGGCAATACTCTGTTGAATAGGAATGGTGAGAGAGGGCATCCTTATCATGTGCCGGTTTTCAAGGGGAATGCTTCCAGGTTTTGCCCATTTGGTATGATATTGGCTGTGGGTTTGGCATATGTAGCTCTTATTATTTTGAGGTATGTTCCTTCAATACCCAGTTTATTGAGAGGTTTTTAACATGAAGGATGTTGACCTCTATTGAAGGCCTTTTCTGCATCTATTGAGATAATCACGTGTTTTTTTTTTCTTTAGTTCTGTTAATGTGATGAATCACATTTATTGATTTGCGAATGTTGAACCAATCACCACTGACCCCACAGAAACACAAACAACCATCAGAGAATACTATAAACACCTCTATGCACATGAACTAGAAAGTCTAGAAGCAATTCCTGGACACATACACCCTCCCAAGACCGAACCAGGAAGAAATTGGATCCCTAAACAGACCAATAATGAGTTCTGAAATTGAGGCAGTAATAAATAGTCTACCAACCAAAAAAGCCCAGGACCAGATGGATTCACAGCTGAATTCTACCACAGGAATGAAGAGCTGATACCATTCTTTTGGAAACTATTTCAAAAAAATAAAAAGGGGGACTCATTCTATGAGACCAGCATCATCCTGATACCAAAACCTGGCAGAGACACAACAGGAAAAGAAAATTCAGGCCAATATCCTTGATGAACATTGATGCAAAAGTCTTCAATACAATATTGGCAAACTGAATTCAACAACACATAAAACACCTTATCCACCTCAATGAAATTAACAACAAATGTATTTTACAGAATTATCTATAGATAATTCTATAAAAGTTTCTTTAGAAACTTCAGTATATCAAACTTGTATATGCTCATGTCAGCTCATACAGTAAATGAAAACCACTATATTGTATTGTAAACACTTTATAATTAATTCATCTTTTTTTATATTTTAAGTGGGCATCTCAGGCCAAATGAATATGGTTAATTGAACTGGCTAAGTTAAATCTGTTGCATTTTTTTATTGAAAATTTCTGCAGATAATAGATTCACATGAGAGAGGCACTGTATGCTCTACCCAGTTTTCCCTTTGGGAACTTTGTGTGAACTATAGAATCACAACCAGGATACTGACATTGATACAATTCCCCAATCTGACTTAGGTTTTGCCAGTTTTACAAGTACTTATCTATGCACACGTGTGTGTGTGTGTGTGTGTGTGTGCGCGATTCTAATCAATTTTATCTCATGTATAGGTTCATGGAGTTGCCACTTGACTCAAGATGCTGAATACAGTCATGTGCTGCATAACTTTTCAGTCAATGACAGGCTGCATATACAACAGTCGTCCCGTCACGCTGTAATACCATAGTTTTACTGTACCTTTTCTATATTTAGCTATGTTTAGATACACAAATACTTAACATTGTGTTACAGTTGTGCTACAGTTGCCCACAGGATTCAGTAGAGTCACATGCTGTACAGGTGTGTAACCTGGGAGCAATGGGTCATACCATATAGCCTAGGTGCCCAATAGGCTGCATCTAGGTTTGTATAAGTGCACTCTATGATATTTGCACAATAACAAAGTCACATAAGCATGCATTTCTCAGAATGTAGCTCTGCCATTAAGCCATGCATGAGTACAGTTTCATCTCCACAAAGCTCCCTCATGTTGCCCTTTTATATTCACATCCAACCCCTTCACGGTTCTCCCCCAGATCCCACCCCCACCTCCATCCCTAACCCCTAGCAAATGTGAAACTATTCTCTATTTATAGAATTATTTCAACAATGTTCTACAAATACAATAACACATTATGCAGTCTTTTGGGATTAGCTTTTTTTTTCACTCAGCATAATTCCCTAGAGATTCCTCTGAGTTATTTTGTGTATCAAGAGTTTTCTCTTCTTATTGCTGGGTACTATTCCATGGTAGGCATGTGCCACAATTGGTTTAACCGTCCACAGGCTACAGGACATACTGGTTGTTTCTAGTTTTGGCTATTACAGTGAAGATGCTGTAAATATTTTTGAGAAGGTTTCTGAGTGAAAATAAGATTTTATTTCTCTGGGATAAATGGCCAAGAGTGCAATTTCTGGTTCATATTATAATTGCATGGTTAGTTTTATTACAGGCTGCCAACCTGTTTTCCAGAGTGTCTGTGCCATTTTACATTACCCGCCAGCAATGTATGAGGATCCAGATCTCCATGGCCTCACCAGCATTTGATGTTCACACCTGTTTGTTCTTATTTTAGCCATTCTGATAGGTGCATGATGATACTTCCCTGAGAGCTCTTTATGAGAGATTCTTTTTGTCATATGTATTGAGGTGAAATTCACATGACATAAAGAGAACCGGCCGGGTGCAGTGGCTCATGCTGGTAATCCCAACAATTTGAGAGGCCGAGGTGGGTGGATAACCTGAGGTCAGGAGTTTGAAGCCAGCCTGGCAAACATGGCAAAACCCTGTCTCTACTAAAAATACAAAAAAAAGCAGGGCATGGTGGCGGGCACTTGTAATCCCAGCTACTTGGGAGGCTGAGGCAGGAGAATCGCTTGAACCCCGGAGGCAGAGGTTGCCATAAGCCGAGATCCCGCCAGAGCACTCCAGACTTGGGCGACAGAGTGAGACCCCATCTGGGGAAAAAAAAAAAAAAGTAACCATTTAAAAGTTAACAATTCAGTAGCATTTAGTACATTCAAGTGTTGTGCAATAAGGAATACTAGTTTAAAAAAACATTGCCATCATTCCAAATAAAAGTCCTTACAGTTTACTGCTTACAGTTCCTTTCAATTTTTAGTTGGGTTTAATTTGATTTTAGTTTGCCGGTTCTGATTGGATTTTTTTGTTTTTTTCATTGTTGAATTTGAAATTCTTCATATAGTCCAGATACTAGTTCTTTGTCAGGTATTGAGTCGGCAATATTTGCTCCCAGTGTGCCTTTTATCTTTTCATCCTGTTCACAAAGTCTTTCACAGAACAAAAATTTTTACATTTAATGAGGTCCAGTTTACTTACATTTCCTTTTATGTGTCATGCTTTTGGTATCAAGTCTAAAAATTCTTTGCCTGGCCTTAGATCTCAAAGATGTTTTTCCTGTGTTCTTTTTTTCCCCTAGAAATGTCATAGTTTATGTTTTACATCTAAGTCCATGATCCATTTTGAATTAATTTTTGTACAAGCTATGAGGATTAGGTTGATGTTCAATTTTTCACCAATGAATGTCCAATTGCTTGGCATTATTTGTTGAATAGGCTGTCTTTACTTCCTTGAAGTGCTTTTGTACTTTTGTCAACAATCAGCTGAACATACTTGTGCTGGTCAATTTCTAGGTTCTCCATTGTGTTTTATTGATCTATACGTCTATCTCTCCACCAGTACTAAACTATCTTGACTACTGTAGCTTTTGAGGAGTAAGACTTAAAATCAGAGTAATGCCTCCCCCTTCATTTTTCTTGGAATGATTATTATAGCTCAAGGTCATTGTGATTATTTTAGGGCCTATACCTTTCTATATAAATTTTAGAAAAAGCATATCTATTTCTACAAAATCCTTGCTGAAATTTTGATGGGAATGACATTAAAACTGTAAATCAATTTGGGAGATGATGGACATCTTTATTATGAGACTTCCAATCCTTGAGCACTGTAATTCTTGCTATTATTTAGATCTTTTAAAAATTCCTTTCTTCAGTGTTCTGTAGTTTTCAGCATATCAATTCCATACATGTTTTTGTTTTAGAGACACTCACTTTATTGTCAAGGCTGGAGTACAGTGACATGACCATAGCTCACTGGAGCCTCAAACTCGGGTTCAAGCAATATTCCCACTTCAGCCTCCCAAGTAACTGGGACCACAAGTACGTTCATCACACCCTGCCAGTTGAAAAAAAAATTAATCTTTTGTGGAGACAAGGCCTCCCTTTGTTGCCCAGGCTGGTCTTGAACTCCTAGCTTCAAGCAGTCTTCCCACCTCAGCCTCCCAAAGTGCTGAGATTACAGGCACTACTGCACCTGGCCCTATACATATTTTAAGTGTACACTTAACATATTTAATTTTCTTTGGGTGACTAAAATGATACTGGCACTAGTCATTGTTAGTATAAACAAATATGATGTTTTTTGTGTGTTGATCTTTCATCCCAAGACTCTTCTGAACTTGCTTAGTTCTAATTCATTTATTAGTTCTATGAACGGTTTTTGTAGACTTTTCAGGTTTTTAAAATGTAAACAATCTTGTCATTTTCAAAGAGAAACAGCTTAATTTATTTTCTTTCCTATTTGTCTTTTACTTATTTTACTTACCTGACTGCTTTGGCTAGAATACTTAGCACTATTTTGAATAAAAGTGGTGACAGAAGACATTTTTACTTTGTTCAATATCTTAGGGGAAAAGTATCCAGTCTTCCAACATTATATGTGACATTAGCTGTAGGTTTTTTCTAGATGTTCTTTGTGGAGTTGAGGTAATTCTTTATCCTTATTTTGATGGAAGTTTTTTATCATTGGTGAATGTTAGATTTTATTAAATACCTTTTTGTTTACAATTGCTATGATCATCTGACTTTTTTTCTCTACCTCATTATATGGTGCTTCATATAAATTGATTTTCAAATATTGAACCAGGTTTCCAAACCTGGAATGAATCCCATTTGGTTATGGTGCTTAATTATTTCTATCCATTGTTAGATTTGGCTTGCTAAATTTGGTTGACAATTTCTGTGGCTAAATTCGTGACAGATATTGACATATATTATATATATGCATATATATACACACGTATATATATATACACATGTGTATATATGTATATACATACGTGTGTGCATATATATGTGTATATATATACGTATATATATTTTATATATTATATGTGTTATATATGTTTCTCGGTATTATATTTGTTAGATTTAGATGCCATAATACTGGCATCATAAAATGAATAGAAAAGTGTTTTCTCCTCTTCTATTTTCTTTATAATTAGTATTATATTTTCTTTAAATATTAGTAGAACTTTCTGATAAATTCACCTGGGCCCAGAGATTTTTTTTCAAAGTCTTTAATTATAATTTCAATGGCATTAATGATTATATAACTATTTAAGTATTTTATGTTGACTAGGTTTTGAGCTTGTTGTTTTCCAGAAATTAGTCCATTTCTTTGAAGTTGTGGAATTTATGAACATAAAGCTGTTCATAGTGTTTCCGTATCATCCTTTATCATGCCTACAGCGTGTTTTCTTATGGGAGAAGGGAGCCTCAGTCCATGAAAACATTTCCTGGCTTAGCACCTAAGGGGGTGATCCTCCCTGATTGTTTGGGATGGAGCGAACTTTCTGAGTTGGGCACCTTTGCAGCAGGATCCCCTTATTCATGCCACCTCCTCAGCCCCTTCCCATTCTGCTCCATAGTCTCTGGGCTGAGCAGGTGGGTCTCAGGCCTGAAGATCAAAGAGGCATCCTGGGCCGGGACACTTGTTGTGACTAGGTCCCATGCTGGTCCCTCACCCACCTCTGCTCAGGTGCTCCACCTCAGCATCTCTTGGCATGGAGGGGAGCTTCATGCATATGGGGATGGAGAATATGGACTTTCCTGGTCACTTGGTGTTAGCAAATCTTCTGATTGATCTCCCTCTCCAGTGGTACCTGGCTCACCTGTTGTCAGGACTCCTGTTTGGTATCCAGAAGAAGAATGAGCCTACCTCAGCTACCTTCTGCTGCTGGATTAGGGGTCTAGGTCATCTTCTGTTGGGTATGAGGACATAAAATGCCCAGCCCATGCTGTTCCTTTAGGCCTGGGGTTCCAGACCAACTACCTTCTTCTTACTACCTTTCTGAGCTGCTCCGTGTTTACTTCTTGAGTCATTTCCAGTGTTAAAATTGTGCTTATCAGGGAGGAATGAGGAAAAGCATGCCTATGCCATTATGTCTGTTCCAGAAGTCTGTATTTGATCGTTAAAAGATCAAATTCTTTTGTTTCACTTGTAAAATTGAAATAAACAGTAATTTGACTAGACTGCCTAGCACACACACACACACACACACACACACACACATAAAAAGACCATAATCATTTTTTATTTTTATTCAGCAAAATTCAAGCACAAATATTAAAACTTTCAACAATGCACTGTCTACTTAGATTTTGACCTGGAATGTTTTAAAACCTTATAACTTTAAAATAATTTAAAGGACTTAGAAGTGTATCAAATATTTATTTCCCTTTATCCATTACATAAATCCAGGTATATACTAGGTCAAAGATGCATCTTTCATATTTCTCAACCATTGTGAATAATTAATATGTGCAATTAACAACACCTTATCATTGCTTCTTTCTAGACCACACAACTGACATATGTGCTCTGTGTGTGTGTATATATACATATGTATGTATAAATGATATATACATCTGTGTGCATAAACAGGCAAGTATATAGGAAAAATATGTAAAAACATATGTATATATGTGTGTGTGTGTATATGTGTATATACACACACACACATTTTCTTTCAGCATTTTTTCTATTTTTTGGCTCAAATTGTGTTGGTCCCTATGGGATTCATCTTTGCTAGAAATACTATTTCTCCTACTGTTTCTTTTTGTGTACATCAATATCATTAAATGCAATGTTTAGTTAGTGTTAACAACTGCTCTTTTAATGAACATTATCTAATTGAATATTCACAATAAGCCTATAAGGACAATGGCACTGCGATTCCCATGTCAAAGAAAAAGGCACCCCAATTTAGAGAGGTTATTTCAATTGTCCAAGCTCAAATAGTACTGGAGTGCCAGGATTCAAGACAAGTTAATCCTACTGCAGAGTCTCTGTGATGCTACAGTAGACTGAGTTGCAGAATTTCTGTTTGCAGACTCATCTTGAGTAGCAGTTGTTTATTTGATTGCTGCTTACTTTCTTCTTCCTTCCTCTTTGCTTTCGCTCTTCTCCATTTTGCAGATTGATAGTTGCTTCCATTTACCCCTCCTGATCTAAAGCTAGTGCCATAGTAACAAACAAATTTCTCTTCTAAAAAATCTAAAGTTGTTCATTATCTATCCCTTCCTGGACGGTGACAAGAACCTTTTCATGATTTGTGTTGAACAATCACCCGCCTCACCTCTCATGTTATTCTTTATAACTTCTCCAACTTTTTAAATGACAAAAGCTATTATTTAATAGTCAAAAGTTAATTAAATTATCTAATATGTTCTCTATATTTGTGGGAACACATTTCTTCTGCCAGCCACTCTACATCTTTTGAAGCATATTTTGTAGTTTGTTTTTCAAAGGTGGTCTGTATTTAATGGAGGAACATTCTTGCCTACTTTCTCTTTTATCTCTGCTTCTCCATAATTCCTTCACTGTTGATGTTTTTCGGCGGGGGGAGAAGAGTATTTTCTGGAACTCCTATTAGACTTCCTTAGAACTTTTTAATCATTATCATATTTTTTGGTCCTAAACACCTTGATCACATCTTCCTTTACTAATCTTTCCTCCACTTACTCTGGCTTTCTGCTGTTCCAAAAATACATGATGTGTATTCCCACCAAGTCTTAAATGAAAAACATTTCTCAAAATATACCCTTGGCTCAATATCTCTCTCCTTTTGATACTGACCTACCTTGACCTATTTTTTTTTTCTTTTGAGGCTTTCTGACCAATTTCCTCACTTTTTTTATACTCCACATGTACTTTTTTCATTTATTTCTGTTTTTGTTACATTATTTCTTGTCTTGTATAACACATTATTTCATTGTTACCCTTTATTTTAAACATACTTATTTCAAATTCATTTAAAACTGATCTGCCACTTCTTACAAATCTTGAATGATTTCATTTTCTAATTGTTGATTTTTTTTTGTTGGGGGAGGTGTCTTTAACATTAGCCTTTTTATTTGTTTTTAATTTTTGGTTTGCAGGCTTATGTTTAATTAAATTCTCTCTCTGCTCAGCCCTGCAAGTATTAGAGTCTAGGATTCTTTCATTTGTCTTTAACTAAATATACAGGGCCCCATTTCATAATCACGGTCCTATGTTAGCAGGTTGGGGCTTTAGTTACTCCTCTTCTGGGGCTCAGTTGTAGTAGGGCACATTATTCTGCAGGATGAATATGACTCATTGGCTCTGCCTCCCTTTGCTTTCAAACCATGTTGCATTTTGAGTGTATTTTTATAGAAAATTTTTTTAATTTTTTAATATTATTTTAACCCATAATCTGTTGACTTGGTAACACCATGGAGGATGGTATCAAGCATGACATCATCACGTTATCTTGGCCTAAAATTTATTTGATTAATATTTTCATTTAATGCCAGCCATGAGTCAGGGTCACTCTCCCAGGCACTGAACTATACAAATTTGCAGATTTCAGAGCATTAGAGAAGGAAGAAAAATAATGAACAAATAATAAGTGCTATGAATTATGAATAAAACAGGACATAGAGAATGAGAATGGAATGCTGTTTTTAATAGAGTGGTAAAAAGAGAACTCATAATAGCAAGACATTTGAGTGAAGATGTGACTCAACCTGAGTAATAAGCTAAGTGGTATCTAAGAAAAGGTATTTGCAAAAAGAAAATAGCAAACGCAAAGGCCCTGTTCAAGGAACAGCAAGGAGGCAGTCCCTTCGTCATTCTAGATACCTCATTTAATTAATGTAGCTTCATTTGACACTAACAACTTTTTTTTCTCTTTCTTTAAATTACGGGTAATAATCGTACAAACCTGACAAAGCTGATATGATAGCATTGTTATGAAGACTAAATGATTCAATGATTTTAAGTTCTTTTAAAAATCATGACATAGCAAGTAGAATAAACATGTTTGCTTAAAAAACTAAAACCAGTTTAGTACCCGATCCAGTATTATAAGTGATAATGCTTTATATTTAATTTAGAAGATCTATATTATTTGGAAATAAAAGTTCTGCTGTTTTGCTTTTTACTGCTTGGTTTGGTTCTGAGGATAGTGTTAAATTTAGAAACATGGCACAAATTATTAGTTATAGCCCAGATTATTTAAATAAACAACACAAATAATTTATAGAATATTTCCATTGTTTTTTCCTTATCTATAAGGTCATCTAAGAACTATGGCAATGTCTATAGAGTGAGTGCAAAACTAGTTCATTTATTTATTTATTACGATGGGTTATTTTATTGTGTGTGAAATATCTTTTCATTTCTCACACACTAATCTTTGCCCTTTTACTAAAGTCAGGCACAGTGAATATATCTAAATTGGTACCTTAAGTATTTGTGGCTAAGTTAAAGAATTTTCATTTATCTGTTCTCAGAACACGTCACTAACAATGACATCAGCAAAGCAGAGGTGTCTTTGAGAAAGACAGTCTGCAGGTTCCCATGGTGGAGCCAGGTAAGGCTGTAATACTCACCAGCTGGTGACCTTGCCCATCTTCAATTTCTTCAGTTTTATAAGAAAACTGTTGATAGCCTGGAACTCCTGGGTGCAAACAATCCTCCTACCTCATCCTCCCGAGTAGCTGGGGCCACAGGTGGGAGCAACCACCAAGTCCAACTAATTTTTTTTTCTTTTTGTAGAGATGGGATTTCACCATCTTTCCCAGGCTGCTCTCCATCTCCTGGGCTCAAGTGATCATATAGCCTCAACCTCCTAAAGTGCTGAGATTATAGGAATAAGCCACCATGCACGGCTCATATCTGAGTTTCCTTCCAAGTCTCAGTAGAAAACATCCAAGAGAAAAGGTTTACCAAACCCATTTAATTAGGTTATAAAATAAAAATAAATTTTGCATATCTAAAATTATGAATATGAACCCTATAATTTTATAACTGATAATTATTACAAGTTATTAAATTCTTTAATAATTACATGTTTTATGGTAGCAAATATGTTCTAAAATTAATTCTAGAACAAGGATTATATTTGGTTATGAGAATAAAAGATAGGTTTTATTCTCATAAAAAAGATCAAAAAAGGAATCTGTTTTATTCTCACAAAACAGATAAAAAAAAAGATCTGTTTTTGAGTTTAGCCTAAGAAATCTTAAACTGCAAGGGCTTATGAGGAAAAAAAATGAATCTGTGGTAAAACAAAAAACTGGTCACATAATTTATGTAGGTCATGATAAACCCTGAATAAAAAGCAACATAGATGATAATAATTCATAAAATATTTAACAATTGAATTGGGGATTGTTTTGCTTCGTGTTTCTTATTTATAAATTCATGCGCATGTGATTGAACAGGCACATTTTTCTGACCTAAAATCTGAAGGTGCGTTTCTTTCCTCAAGTCAAATCTGGAGCTCATTTGAACACTGTCCACAACTGCTCACCTGCAGGTGTTGTCTGAAACTTGCCCTCCTGTATTCATCACCCTCGCCCTGAAGGACAAGTCCAGTTCCTGGATCAAAAGTGTTAGAAGTAACCAGGAAATTGCCTTGGATTGATTGTTTTATCTAGTGACAGTTAAATTCCAGAAAATATAAACCCATTGGGTATAGAGAGGCATTCTGTTTCCTCTGTTAAGTCTGTATCTGTCTACTGAGCGTAGATATCTTTGTCTATATTTGCTTAAATACAGCCATCTTGAATAAGGAGAGAATTGTAAGTAAGCTACATATTTTTGGGGAAAAAAAGGAAAATTGTACCAATCATAGGAAGGACCAATTACCCTCTGAGGTTGCGTACAAATAGCCAGGTGGAAAGAGAAGGAGAGGAGAGCCAGTTTGATAATATGAGGGTTAGTCAAAGTTTCTAAGCACAGGTTGATTTTTCCCACATCAGGTCTGCATCTCCTGGAACTAAATCCTCTGGCTAACTCTACTCTGTGTTAATAAAACTATTATAATTAGGCCCTGAAGATTGAGAGCTGCCTAGAGCTGTAGTGCTCAGCACCAGATTGCCTCTGAGTTTGCAGCTGAGAAGTGAGTCAACCATGGCTAAGGAATTTGACACAGACTGTTTTAATTATATTGCCTATATTTTTGTGGAGGGAAAGTATTATCACATGTGGAATGGTAGCTTGTGTTCTAACAAAGAATCATTGTATGGTAGAATATTCTTATATTCATTACAGATTCTTGGCCTTTTTCGTGAAAAGATTCTTCTTCAATCTTTTATTTTTGTATCTGTGTATATAAATTAACCCAGAGCATATTATATTTTAAAATGTTATTGGTGTCCTTAATATTTCTTAAAATTTAAATAGGCATTAGTTTATCTTTTTGAACTGAATATCACATTATTTCCAGTTGCTGCTACAACATTTTCCACAAATTTAGTGGTTTTAAAGCAACACAAATTTATCATCTTACAGTTAAGTCTAAAATGAGTCTCCGTGGGGTAAAATCGATTTATCCATGTTCCTTCTAACATCTATAGGAGAGAAGTCATTTCCCTGCCATTTCCAGCTTCTAGAAGTACCTACATTCTGTTGACACTGGGTCCCCTTTGTTAACTTAAAAAAAGAATTAAAAGTTTAGAAAAGGAGAGAGGGAGACCATATTTCTTATAAAGTGTTACAGCCTGCAAGGTGGCCATCAAGCAGGCTGGGAATTGCAGCCCCTGGGCAAGACCAAAGATAGGCACTTCAAAGGAGGAGGGGTTGGGGCAGGATCTTTAGGCCAAACAGGTTGGCTAAACAGACATATTCAACAGGTTACAGGAGGAGCTATGAATATTCATGAAGGGGTAGTCCTGGCACATGTGTACTGAGAAAACATGCATGTAAGAAAGGCCCCATGTTCACTTTGGGGTGAAAACTTCACATTTAAATGCATTACAGTTAGGGCCTGTACGTCCAAAGGTCTTTTCAGGATGCAAAGGTACACAAGTGTGCAGCCTCTGTAAACTGGTCAGAACCAGTTCTTGGTTGGTGGTTTTCTTATCAGGAGGAAGTTATTGAGATCAGTCTTTTGTCCAGTCAAAGCTGCATTTATGGCTGGCAGAACAGGGAGTCAGTCAGCTTCTGTGAACTGGATGAGTTGTAATTGTTTTAATGTTGCTTATTTCCAGGCTGGTGCTTGTTTAGCTGCTGGAGAAAAAAGGAAGCCTTGTAGCAGCTAGGACATGGTTTATTCTTTAAGTGTAGGGGTGTGGACCTAAACCTTGCCTGGCAAGGCCTTAGGTCTTGTTTATAAATTGGTATCTTATTGCCACAAAGAGTCCATTCTGTCAGTCTTATGATCTCTATTTTAACATTAATGCTGGTCAGCTGTTGTGTCTAAACCACAAAAGGGAGAGGTTATAAGGAGGCATGTCTGACCTCCTGTCCCATCACGGGAGGGAACTAAGATTTTAAGGTTTTTTTCTGAAGTTTACTTGGCGAAGCGGGGTTCTATTCAGGGCTGCAGAACTTAGGATTTTACTTTTAATTTACACCTTCTGTATTACTTTGTTTTCACGCTGCTGATAAACTAGAAACTGGGTAATTTATAAAGAAAAAGAGATTTAATGGACTCAGATTAAATTTAACGGACTCAGAGTTCCATGTGGCTGGGGAGGCCCCACAATCATGGCAGAAGGTGAAAAGCATGTCTTACATGGTGGCAGGCAAGAGAGAATGAGAGCCAAGCAAAAGAGAAACCCCTTATAAAATCATCAGATCTCATGAGACTTATTCACTACCACAAGAACAGTATGGGGGAAAGTGCCCCCATGATTCAATTCTCTCCCACCAGGTCCTTCCCACAATTCAAGATGAGATTTGGGTGGGGACACAGCTAAATCATATCACCTTCCATGTACAAAACCAGAAATGCCCAGTCAAGTCTTTCTGAGGCTGCATCAATCTGACAGTGACTCTTCCGCCTCCCTGTTCTCCTTGTAAGGACTCTCCTGATTACATTGGGCCCACCCAGATAATACAGGATAATCTCCCATCAGCTGATTGGTAACATGAATTGCATCTGCAACCTTAATTCTCCTTTGCCATGTAATGTAACCTATTCACAAGTTCTAAGGATTAGGATATGGACATTTTTGGTTACCACAGATGTCTTGTTTGGAGTTATCTGTTAAATAATCAAGGACATAAATACTAATATAGTGGTTGGTATAACAAAGGTGTTTATATTTCCCACGTAACAATTTGAGATGTGCAATCTGCCTTTCATTCCCTGTGGTTATCAACCTCCCAGGCACCATTATCCTTCTACTTCACCACTGGAAGTGTGTGATTTTCACCTCTATCCAACATACCCACATTCTCAGCACGAGGAAAAGGCAAGCAGAAAGGACAAAGAATCATTCCTTTTAACATTTTCTTTTCCTGGCAACCCTACTTAGTGACTTCTCGCACTTTATGGCTACAGCCAGCTCCGAGAGATTTGTACTTTTGCGTGGGCACACTGTCACCCAGAGCAGAAGTCAGCACTCTGTGGGAAAGACAGAAAGGATGTTGTGTGCGCAAACAAGAGCATCTACTTCTTCATTTATAGACACGTGACAGAAAACCTCCTTGAGGGCTTTGGGAAAACAAGATATCTGTAATATAATATGTCTATCAAATAGCATCAACTACATATACAAAGAAATACCAAAAAAGCCTGTTTTTTTATACTTTATATACTAACTGTATTAAATGTAAATTCTTTTTATAAGCAGTAAATGATTCTCTAAACATGTGGTCCATATCTTCTGCTCCAGTGATTTCCAAAATAATAGTGTATGTGAAAATCACTTGGGAACATAATTGAAATTTTCAATTCCCAAATCTCCACCAAAGATTCTGTTTCAAAAGGTCTCAGAGGGCTCTGCATTTTAACAAGCACCCTGGGTATTTCTGATGCAGGTGGTCTGCAAACTCTTTGATTGTGTTAAAAAAAAAAAAAAAATCCCAAGTGAGCACACCTGCACTCCATTTAACATGCATGCATTGGGTACCTGCTATAGCATTGTACTAGATACCGTAAGAGGTATAAATAAAGTAACAGAAGACCTGATCCCTGTTCTTAAGGAAGTTTAAAAAAAATGAAGTTTCCAGCTTCAGCTTCCATTGAAACAGCGCCTGGACCCACTTCAGCTATTGCAGTGTGAGAAGAACTGTGGGAAAAGCGAAGAGGAGAGTGTGCTCATTTTCCTTCCTAGCATCTATCATGATTAGTTCTTACATATTTTTGTGCTTATTTAATTTAAGTCTTTGCCACTAGAATATTAGCACCACAAGAGCAGATAACAGTTTCTCACTATTGTGTTTCTTGTAAGTAGCAAAATGCTTTACTCTCTGTAAAAATACGTGATAAATATCTGTCAAATGAACATAGTGTTGTGCGTGTTCAGAATAAAGTTAAAATACATTAATTAGGAAGAATAACACCACCTACATAGAGGAGGAGAGAGTTCAACTGGCTCTGGAAGGTCTCAGGAAGCAGAAATGGAGGAAAGAGATTTCCAGATTGAGGGAGGACTATGATCAAAGGTGTGGATAACATGAAAGTATGTGACCAATTAGGAAACCTGTAATAACGTTGTCTTCAGCAGTGTTGGAAGAGTTTCCTTACTGTTTCTGACACGTGACATGGTTTAGAGGTAATATTCCGTTCTGATCGTTATTTGCTTGAATATAATAGATGTCTGTATTTTTATAGACCTTATATAATTTCAAAGATGTTTAATCTATTAGTTCATTTTTTCTATAAAATAATCTGGCAAACTCAGTAGACTAGATATTATAATGGTTGCTCTACATTTTAAAACACACACCACACACACACACACACACACACATGCACGCACACACACACACACACACGCATGCGCACAGAAACCCAGACACCAAAAATGGAAGAGTCACTCTGTGGTGGAATTTCTGATTGCTAATCAATGCTCAGACACCTTCCTTTTACATTTTTGAAGTATGTTCTTCATACAGTATTAATAATTTCTTAAGGGTCTATTTGTGTGTTAAATAGTGTGGGTGGTAAATTACCTGAGATCTTTGATTTTTATGTTACCATAAGTCAAAAGTAAGCTTAATATAAACATTTTTCATATTCTCACTGAAAATTAGGAAGTTGAGTTGGGAAACGAAAATAAAACATCAGTCTTTTTTATAACTACATATATATTGTTATACGACATATTGTATGTGTGTGTGTGTGTGTATATATATGTATCTTTCAATTCTCTTCTTTTCTTCTTTTCTCTCATATCTCTTCTTTGACATGAAAGGCACACTGAAAAATTAGCCAATTTAAAGGATGGTGGAAATGATAAAGAAAGGGGCATATGATCTAATAAAGAAAATTAAAGACATTTAATATGTAGGGCTAAGAGATATGATGACAAATGAGGGGATATTATAACTATATATAAATACTTGCAATAGTATGTTATAAAAGAGAAGGAAGATCTATTTTAGCTAGCTAAGGTCTTAGAACAAGGAATAATGATCTGAAGTTTTAAAAAGATAAAAATTTAAGTATAATGAAAAATGTTTCTGTCAGTGAGAACAATTAGAAAGAATATTCTTCCCTGTAGACATGAGCACTAGAGATGATCAAAAACAGACAAGATAAAATCTTTGGGGACTTAATAGATAGAAAAGCCACTTTATAATGTCCTCTTTCCTGGTCTGGTTAAGACTTTCTTCTATCATATATCGTTAATCACTTGAAAAAGAAATTAATGATCCATGAAATGGGAATGCTTATTTCAATAGGTAGGTTGTTCCGCAGAGTTTCAAAAGATCTGTGGTTGAGGCCAAAACTCCCATTACCTTCCTGGGTCGTATATTTCTAAGTTAACTTCTCTATCCTACCAAAGTATCCTTTCTGTTCTCTTTTTTAAAATGAGAATGATTAATAAAGGACTATTTTATAAAAGCAAGCAAGTGTAAAGGTTTCTTTTATTTCACTTTATAGTATTTTTTCATATCTGTCTGCCTGTCTATGAATCATCTATCAACCTATCTTACTAAATATTTCAATTATTTCTCCAGGTTGACTAAGGTACATACTGTGTACTAAAGTACATACATAACATGATGTATCATGGAATATAGGTGCAAGTTAACAATTTTTTTTTCATATTGCTTAGTTTAAGATCTCCATAGAATATTATCATGGTCAATATGTTGAGCAGTCCTCATCAAATTAAATGATTAGCAAATTCTCTGAGTTGATTCTGTATACACATAAACACACAGACGCACACATACACTCACTTGAGCATACACGTGCATGTGTGTCATCTTTCTATTTTGTATAATTTCTTTTACTTTCATCATCTTTTTATATTGTATATCATATATGATAATCCTAGAGCAAAACGAGAAAAGTCACAAGAAGAGTGTTAGCAATGGAAACAGTGCAAACAGGAGAATCTGAGATTTATTTCAAAGGCAGAAGTCATGGAATAATGAGATTGGTCATTTATATGAGATTTGCAACAAAAAGAGTCAAAGAGAGCTCCAAGTTTCCTAGGATTCTTAACTGTTTAGAATCACTAGGACTGTATGGGAATGAGAAAGTGAGTGGGGAGATGAATTTATCTGTTTTGAAATTTGGATATTTTCTTGTATATAAGTTTAGGTACTTGGATGTAACCATTCAAAATAATACTTAAACATTTCTTTGTTTTTTGTTTCCGTGTAAGCAGAGCTTAGCCATGCGTGGTGGCATGTGCCTATGCCTGTGGTCCCAGCTACTCAGGAGGCTGAGGCAGGAGAATCACTTGAACCAAGAGGTGGAGGTTGCAGTGAGCCAAGATTGCACCACTGCACTCCAGCCTGGGTGACAGAGCAATACTCCATCTCAAAAAAAAAAAAAAAAAAAAAGAATATGCTATAATAAATCTCAACATCTTTCTAGGCTCGTTACTGATGATCCCAAAGGAGGTAACCATTCCATATTCTTTTGGTTTGTATCAAAGGTTCACACACACACACACACACACACACAAAGGTGCACACACATACATACATATTATATATAGTGGTTATATATGAGATATATATTTATATACTCTCTCTCATAGGAAGATAATAGAAGTGCTTCCATACTAAAGAAGAGCTTACACTTAAAATTGCCTGTGCTGCTCCTAAAATTCCACTGTTCTCAGAAAACTGCTAGTTACAATCAGTATTTTAATAACCCTAAATCTTTCCTTCAATTTCAGAATTTTAGGGCCCTAAAATACTTTACAAATCCATGGTTCAAACAGCTCTTACAGAATCTAGTAGTCGAGGAAATAGATGGTTTCAATCTGTTTTAGTACTCAGAGGATTCAATTCCGAATATCTGTGTGTTTGCGACTTCTCCAGTGTATTACTCCTGCTCCCTTTAGGCATCGCATCTTTAGTCTTTAATTAGGCACTTACATCTCCAGCTTAGCCTGCCTTCTGTTCATCCGAAACTCCCAGAGAGGAATAATTGTGTTGGCTTCTTAGCAAGTTTTAACCATCTTCTCTCTCTTCTTCTCTTTTCCTCTGTCTTCATTTTTCTCTAATTAAAAGCAAAATGACAAAGAGAAAATGAAAGGCAATGGAAATTCATCTTTTCCATAAAGTAAGCTTGGTCAAACTCTGCACCTGTCTCTGCCTTCCATAAGGTTTACAATTGACCCTCATTATTATTGTGTTTGGAAGTTGCCATGCTATTATTTTTATTTTGTAAAATTTTGTTCAATCCTATTTTGTTCATTTTTGTTTTCTTAATTTTTTAACGCAATAATTTTTGTATAATCCTAACTGTCCAGGTACATTCATTTTTTTCTTTAAATATTTTAAGTAACTTTTTAATTTTTAACAATTAAAAATAAATCTAGAACCAGCATTATGCAACATACTAATAAACAAAGAAATAAATGTTTAATTTCAATATATAAATAGAAATAATCACAAATATACTCAGGGCTATCATGTTTGAGAAATAAATTGATACGTGGTATATGAAAACTATCACAAGTTTTACTTATTTGAATAGTTAATCTGCCATTATATTCTTCAAAGCACAGATAAAATAACTTCTATTTTATAAGCTGACCACAGTGAATATGCTATAAATTATTCAATATTTTGTATAATATTAAACACTGTGCTAAATAAGAAGGTATGTATACATGCACACACACAGTTCTGTACATATTAGTGCACTATTATTAGCCGTTTCGGTTCCAAAGGATTAAGTATCTACCTGGCTTCCCGTATTTTAGAACAAAAAAAAATACTGTCATTCAAAGGGTTATCTTAATAAACCCTGGAAAATACGATAGAAGCTAAATTCATGAGCATTTTGTGATTACTACATTTATGAGAAGAATGTGTTAAGAAGTTAAAGAATCACCTACTGATAAAAGAGAAACAAATGTCAGTCACCGAATATATTTAATAAGAAAGCACAATAGGCATATGCAACCTTTGTTTGTTTTCCTTGAAAGGAAAATATCCCACAATTCTTGCAGGTAGCACTGTTCATAGGGGTTTCAAATATTTCCTTTGATTAGATATTGTAGTATTTTCTCAGCTTTCTCTTTGAGAAATTCTGAAAATAACTTTTAAGCTGAAATATAATTTATGAGAGTCCATTATCTCTTTTCTCTTTTCATTAAGCTTTTGATTTGAAAAAGACCTATTAATAAGATAATATCCTTTATAAAAGAGACCTTTTCTGGGGTGAAATGATTGAAGAAATTTGGCATAACTCAGGTCTATATCTTTCTGATATTGCTTTAGCTGTCGTAGGACTCTATACCCCAAAGCCCTGTGGCATTTTAGCCAAGAAGTTTGTTTTGTTTTGTTTTGTTTTGTTTTGTTTTGTTTTGTGTATGATTGTATTTTTCTTTCCAGGACATAGATTAATGACTAAAGGTATTCTAAAATCATCCTTTCACATTTATTTCTTTTAAAAGTGTATTTAAATATATTATTTGTAGCTTTTATGGAGGTAATTGACTATATAAATAAAAATTAATCCCATGTTAATGTATAATATGTATCTTTTTCAATATATGTAAAAAATTATTTTACCTTTGGATACATGATAATATTTTTTAATAACCTTTCTGAAATTTTAAGTTTCATTGTCAAGATTGTTTCCTCAAGCCAGAAGGAAATTTGTATTGCTGTAATAGGCACAGTAAATTGTTTGTTACACATTTTCAGAATTTCATTCATGATTAAATCATATTGAATGCTATTTAATAAAATATTTAACAAACAAAACAAAATGAGCCATAGACATACTCTTTCATTTACAGAGAGAAAAAGTAAAATAAAAATTAAAGCAAATAATGTCTGCCTAATCTCTTAAATATTTAAATGTATAAAAAACCATAAAAAGGCATTTGACATTTTTTAACTCTACTCTCTGTTCTAATCGTAAGTGCAATAAAATGTCAGAAATAATTTTATATGTGTGATATGAAAAATGAGAAACATTGGTCACATTTTTAAAAAATCCCTGAGAAGTCATAAATGGAAAATTAAGATAATTATAAAATAGTTTTTGATAATGAAAATAATTGTTTCAACTGTATGATACTACGTAGGGATGTGATAAAAATGAGGACTTTGAAGTTAGGCCTGGGTTCAAATCTTTCTCTGACACTTTAAACAAGATGAATATGGGCATGTATATACATATCAAAACTTCAGTTTCCCCATTTGTAAAATGAGCAATATCATACCTCTTTTATGTAACTTGCACAAATTCTAGTCAACAGACTAGATGTTCAAACACTATTTCTCTATTCTTCTGTAACAATTAATTTCTAATATTTTCTCCTAGTACTCTAGATTTTAGAAACTTCAAATCAGGAATTCTTACCACATTTAATCTGCCAGGATTACCTATCTGTTCTGTAAAGCATCGGATCAGCCAGTTGTGGGAGGAGAGCAGAGCTGGTCACGGGTGTGACTCTTCTGCAGGGTACAGACAGTGTCCTTGAGAATCCCCAGGAGCTAAAGTAAACCATCATCTCAGAAAGACAGTACACTTCCACCAGCAGGTGTTAAGTAGGAGCTCAGATTTTTTTTTTTTTTTTTTTTTTTTTTTTTTTTTTTTGTCATAGCAAGATTCCATTCGTCCCCTCCATAAATATTCAAAGCCCTACTACCTGTGTCTGCCTTTGGACTCTAGGATTAAAGTTATTTATCATTTATCCCTTTGTTTTAAGTGAGTTCTCAAACAGACTCTGAGATGGTGAGTTGAGTTGCAGAAGGGGCATTGTCATGAAGGGATGCTTTCAGGGGATACAGCTATAAGGATGTGCGAAAGGCAGGTGGGCAGAGGGAGGAGCTGATCTGCAATGTGACTGCAACTGATTCTCCAGAGAACTCTGGAGCTTGGATGGACTTTCAGAATTGGCCCAAATTGAGATTATGGAGCTGAGTTTTACATCCCTGCCTTAGCCAGTCATTGGCCATGGGCTGCATTGGGAAAGGCCAATTTCTGCAAGTGGGGGATATGTCTAATGAGGGACACAACTGTGAATCATTAAAGGGTGACACTTCTAGCAGCTGGGGAACAGGTGCCCTGGCTCTTATGAAGAAATTTAGGCAGAGCTCTCCAGTATATACTATGGTATGCTTCTTGATTTGATGGGCTCAGATCCAATTAATTCTTCCTTTGTCCACCTGGGAAGAGTTTCTCCATGATTGCGGTTGGTCTTGTTCCCTGGAAAATTTACAAGCAAAATGTTGAGATATTCCTGTTTTCACTGGTTCTTTGATGAAAGGTTCATGAAGGTCACTATACCAGCCTCTCCCCACTGCACATTTCTTAGATACCTTGGCTGTTCTGGAATCATACTGCTATTCCTGATGCCCTTTGAGGGCAGTGAATCTCTAGGAGGTGGTTCACTACTGTCTTCCTGATGAATGTGGGTGGTCTTCTGTGCCTGCATCATGCCCAGTGCAGGGATTTCTGCAAGCCTGACAGATGTGTGGCTTCCATGGAGGTGGGATTTGCTTTTTCCTTTTCTTCCTCCAGTGCCTGTAGTCTTTACTTTACCTCTGCCTATGCTCTCTAGTTTATACCTAGTCTAGTGTCAAGAATTTGGCAGTACAAAAGCCTAAACTTTTTAACTTGAAGTGCTTTTTCTTTGTCTTTCAGCTTTCCCTTGGTTGAGGCAATGAATGCTACTGAATAAATGGGTAGAAAGTGACAGAAGATAAGAGAAATGCTTTAAAAAGGGTAGGCATCCTATTTCAAAATAGTATCAGTATTATCCCACTGTCCACGTAAAGAGCTACTTTTAGATTCAAATGATAAAATACATTTGAGGGGCAGGTTTTCTAGTTATAGTAACAGTAATATTTAATTTCTTCTTTAAAAGTCTAATACCATATGAAAAAAATGACACTATAATAACTTTTTCCTCCACTGTGGTCATGACCCATCTTAAGTTAAAAACGGATTTTAGGAAAGCAAGAAAGAAACCATTCTCAGCAACAGAGGGCATGAGGTAGTATTTTAAAGAGACTGTAGATTTAAGACTAATAAAGTCAGTTAAACTTTGTAAAGTAGATACCTCCACATTTCATTAATAAATTGAAGGTTTAAATTTAAAGCATTTTTAAATGTTCATGATATACATTAAACAGCAAGAATGTCCATGTCAAGTATATTTGAAGATAAACATAATGAGAAATATATGTAGATTTCAATTGATTTAGTCAGTATCTAGTGATATATGTTTTCTGATAATTCATTTTTGCATGGCTATACATGAATTTCCAAGATTATAATAAATTAGATGTTATAATATGAAAAATTATACAAGTCACTTGATATTTCATTATTAATTGGGTGTTTCTCCAGCAGTCAAGCTAGGCTCATTTGTTGGAATAGAATGCCACTGCTTAATGTATCTAATAATGTCTTCTAAAGGATGAAATTACAAGGGAGAGTCTGAAGAATAAGATCAATGAACTTATATTAGTGTAAATTATCACTGATTAATGAATACAACATTGGGGATTAAAATTTACTTAGAGCTTAAACTTACTGCCAGTTTCACAAGCTTAAATTGAATAAACATCCCAAGTATCCAAAATACAAATAATAGTAAGCTAATATTTATACCTGAAAATAATATTTATAACAGAAAATTATGACATTAAGAAATATATATTTGATAAGAAATATTAAAATTGATTAGGACAAAAGCCTATATAAAAGGGTTTCCTATGTATTTTTTTCTGCAAATAATCTGTGCTAAATTGAGGTTAAAATTATTGTTTTGAAGTTGAAACTAGTAGCTTAAATGTATTTACCGTAGTTTTTAATGGTAGCTAAGTACCATAGTGCAATTAGGTCTTGCTTAGAGACATGAATCAATATGAAAATATTTTATTTTCATTTAATTTAAAAGGGATTAAATGGAGAAGTAAATGGATGTTTGTTACTACCTTCTATTTTCTTAAAAAAGTAATAGCCTCACCATTATACATTGATTAGGTTACAGTCTAATCAAAGTAAACAGAAACACTGAGAAACAGACAAACAGGTCTGGGTTCTCTGACTAGGAGTTCCGCTTCTGAGATACAGTCTTCTCAGTTTATGCTTGCTCTGTTCTGATACCAGTCGGGGTTGTATATCCAGAATACAGAAGGTAGGGGTTTTATATTAAGGGTATTAAAGCTTGATAGTGCCATAGTCGACAACTGCCTACGTGTGATGAATATGGTTCTGCTTCTCTGACTGTCTTAGGATGACGTAGGTTGCAGTGATTGAGAATTACATAGTCAGTGGGCAGTTTCAAGGGGGAAGATCTGATCAAAATATTCTATGGTTAGGAGAAATGATGAACCTTCGAGATGCCATTTTCACACTTTTCTTTAGTGATCATATTCTTAATGAAAAAATGTACAAATGTTATATTGGCTTAAAAAAAGAAAGTATTTTCCCAGTTAAGAGAACAATATCGATTCAAAAATACTCTTTTCAATTTCCAGAACATATAATAGCATAACATACCCAATTAAAAATCAAAGGCAGTTATATGAGATTTTTATTTTAAATAAAACCTGTATCATATTGAAAAGGATTCTGCCATCTTCCAAGCATAATCTCAGTCTATAAAAACTATAAGGTAGCCTTCATATTTACAAATAAAGTTAGCCAATTATAATAGGCTAGTATGAGAAAAATATTCTTTTTATTCCCTGAGACTATGATTGGCTATACATGAATTTCTCTCCAAGATTATAATAAATTAGATGTTACAATATGGAAAATTATACAAGTCACCTTATATTTTCTAAGACTAGGAATCAAAATGAGATGATAAGCTTCCTCCTCAGTGAACTTTGATTCTTGTCTCTTTGAAAATAAAGACAAAGCAGTTCCCATATCTACATATCTACAAGTATCACATAATCTCTAATTTATTCAATATTCTTGACAATTTCTTTAGGGAATTTTAGCTTATCACTCTAGCAGTCAGTAAGTACTAAACAAATTTATTAAGTAATGAATATAAATTGGGAAGATATAGATACTTATTTAGGCATAATTAAAACTTACAATTTCTTTATTAATTTTTTGTTAATTATTTTGAAATAGTAAGGTTTTTTTAAGATTTTATCATTTCAAATAGTTTTAACAAGGAATCAGTATTGTATCTTTCTTTATTAAATGAAGTCATTTAAGCTGTTGAGTCCTGATCATAAATAGTATATTGATATAAATCATACTTACACATTTAATAAAATGAAAAGAGAACAATTCTAAGCACATCAATAATGTGAATATATTTAGTAGAGAAGGTATGTATGATAATGCTGTCATTGGGAAGTGTTTCTAAATAAAACAATTGATTCTGATATATCTGTATTTAGTTTAAAAATAGCAAAACAGGAGAAATATGTGTTCTTCTGCCTAATCTATATATATATATATTTAAAATAAACTTTAAACTTGATAATGTCTTAGAATTATACAAATAATGTAACAAATAGTTTAATGATTCTCAGTTTCTAATCTTTCCCCATTTTTTTTTCTTTTGTTACTTTGAAGAAACATTACAAAATGAATGTAATGCTTAAATTATGTTTGCGTACCTTAGAATTAAATAGCTAACATGCATTTTCTTAAATTGTGTATATTTATGAGATGCTTTTTTTTTTTTTTTTTTTTTTTTTTTTTTTTTTTTTTTTTTTTTGAGTTTGAGTCTTGCTCTGATGCCAGGCTGGAGTTCAGAGTTCAGTGGTGCAATCTCAGCTCACTGCAAACTCCACCTCCCGGGTCCAAGCAATTCTCCTGCCTCAGCCTCCCAAGTAGCTGGGACTACAGGAATGCACCACCATGCTCGGCTAATTTTTTTTTCTTTTGTATTTTTTCTAAAGACAGGGTTTCACCGTGTTGGCCAGGATAGTCTCGATCTCTTGACCTCATGATCTGCCCACCTTGGCCTCCCAAAGTGCTGGGATTACAGGCATGAGTCACCACGCCCAGCCCGAGATGCCTGTCTTTTAAATGTGATACTACATAGGCAAAGTTTGATTTCTTGACCACTCACGTAATTCAAAACCATATATGTGTGTGTAGAATACCATTAAAAACAATAAAATGTAATAAAAAGAAAACAGTACTTCTAAGATAAAAGAAACCCATAGTAATTCATTTTCACTCCATTTATACTTACATCTCCTTAGCATGCCCATCTTTCAAAATGAAATATAGATTTTCTATCTCTCACTCATCAGAATCTAGTAAGTTTAAGATTCTTAATCTAAAGAGAAGGGCATTGAATGTTCTTCACATTTTGTTATTTGCCTACTTTTCCAGCATTGCTTGCCCCACCACCATATGTCCACCAACTGTGGATTTCCCTGATGCCTTTCAAGTAAGTATTGTCACCTCCATTGAGAGAGAGAGAGAGAGAGAGAGAGAGACTGGCTCAACTCACATAGGACTCAAATCTTCCTCTCTACCTTTTTATGAGCCCTTTGCTTTTTTCACTGTACCACAGTGATCTGGATGAGATACAGAAAGAGACTGTTTCTTGCTTATATTGGTAGGAAATATCTATATAAAAATTCATTCTCAACATGACCATTTTTGCCTCTAAAATATAACCATGTCCTGACAACATATTAATTTCAATCTAACAAGTATCTGTATACTCACATAAAAGGTTCTGAAACTAGAAATAAAAACAAGAGAGGATCAGTGTCCTCATTGGGTGAATCTATTTTTGAGAAGAGTGCATGAGGCTTGGCGAATGGAAGTGAGGGACAGAGTGTAGGAGCTTTGTAAAAAAAAAAAGAAAGTGTAATTCTTTCGATAGTACTTAATTACAGGATGCATTTTCCCCTGTTACATGTATGCTTCTTTAATTGATACAATTTTTAAAGACAGTCATTTACATTTAATTCCCTTTCAAACATTACCTAATTGATTTTCGTCCAAACTTTCTGATTCAAATTATTTCATACCTGAAAACAAAACAAAACAAAATCTGTCAACTTTTAAAAATCTCAGATATCATGTTAATTTTCTTCCCACAGACTCAGAAAATTTTTTTAAGCTGCTTTATTTTTGAGATGTTGTCAAAAACAGCTTCACTCCTTGCAGAAGTCTTGGAATTACTTCGCTGAAAGAGATAACATTTCTTCCTGTTTTCCAAAGACTGCATAAGATGATCGTTTGGGGACTATCTTTGTTTCCTCAAGTCTGTCATGCAAGAGTGAATAGATGACTTAAAATTCTAGGTCATATCTACTCCTCTATATTTATTTCACTTCAGTCACATAAAAGTACTGCATTTTCCTGTTTCCTGATCTTCCTATGACCTTTCACACATCCTTTCATTCTACTTGTTTCTCCCTTGGCTTAAATGTCCTGACCATTTTATCCAGAATGCCTTGTAAATTCTCAAGTAGTCCTTACCCACAAAAAAGGTAATTCCTCCTTGAAACTCTCCTGTCTTTGCCTTTTTCCAAAATGTTTGTGTGTGTTCTCTTCCGTATTCCTCCTGTATCACTGTATACATACATCTTTCAGAGACATATACATAGCTCTGTTCCAGTGGTTTGTTGGCCAATCAGTCACACCATTTACACTGTCAGGCTACTACATTGTGGCCCTCTAGAAAAGAATAATCTTCCATTTATCTTGATATCCTTAGACTGACATACTCCCTGACTAATGGGAGGTACTTAAAAAAATACTGAGACATGAATGAGTAACCAGATTACTTTACATCTCAATTTATGTCTTTTAAGTTCTATTTCGTCATATTCTGTTAAAAGTTATGTTCTGTGTATCTTGTAACTGGCGCAAAATATAGCATTTTTTAGAAAGCACTTTTTTAAAAATCCAAGCCTGTGGTTTTACTTACTTGCTGTTATGACAGGTCAACTTTAAAATAGATTGCATCATAAAATCAGCTAGAGCATTTGCCTGAAAGAAATGGAAAAGCTTAGAGTATTTCAGTGAAGCTTTTGATAAAATGTCCTCTGATTGGTGAAAGACTCTCCAGTGATACCCAATGGAAAGAAAATTAGGAAAAGTCCAGAAAGAAGCAGTTTGTGCTCTTTTTCTCTCTGTAGTTTCTTCATCAAGTTAGTTAAAACAAAGAAATAAAAAAAGGACTTTTTTCCTTTTGCAATTACTATAAAAATATTTTGTATATGTATTTTTTGAGATATGTATAAAATCAAAGTTTTTAAAAAATAGTAGTTAAGAGTTAGAATTAAAATATCAAATTTTTGGAAAGGTTTTGAATTCTCTGTATAAAGCATTCAAATAAATTTAAATTCCCATGACTGAGATTAAGTGGTATTAGATAAAGCACTGATTTACAGGAATTACAGATGTAGGAAAGAGTTAGTAAATTTTTTATCATTTTCATTACCCATGTACAATTCTTTTAATCCACATTATGTAGATAATTTATATAGTCCAGTACTCTCCAAATGTGAGGAAAAAAGAAAATCGCTTGTCAAATAGCTTGTAATATGTACTCTGAGATGTTTGAATATATGTTTACATTTTTTTAAATGATAATTGAAAGGACATAAGCTGTTTTCCAAATTTACACATAGTGCTCATATCCCAAGAACATATAAACGTACACCAGGGAACAGCTTGCTTTATTTGAGCACGTGCAATGTAGAATAGAGTTAATATTAGAGTTAAGTATTGAGTTAATATAAACCCCATCTCCATTTTAGACATCAGAGACTTCTTTCTCAATTACTGCACTTTCTAATCATATTCATTGTCTCCTGTAGTTCTCACAAATCTCTCTGTTGTTATTTCACTATAACTAAGCTAGAGGAAGCAAGGTCAATCCAGATAGAGCTGACAGCAGAGTTCAAGCCTTTCAGCCCTAGATATGTGCTGTCTTAGGGTAATGCAAAAAAAAAAAAAAAAAAAAAAACAGTCTTTATTAAGTGAGAATAAACCTCAAGCCAGGAAGGAAGAAAGGAAGGGAGGGAGGAAGCTAGGGAAGGAAAGAAGGAGGGAAGGAAGGGGAAAAGTATTAGTTCTTACACTGCCATAAAGAAATACCTGAGACTGGGTAATTTATAAAGAAAAGAGGTTTAATTGACTCACAGTTCTGCATGCTGTACAGGAAGCATGGCTGGGGGAGCCTCAGGGAGCTTTTACTCATGGCACAAGGCAAAGCCGGAACAGGCATCCTCACGTGGCCAGAGCAGAAGGAAGGGTTTGGGGGGAGATACCACACACTCTTAACCAGATTTCATGAACACTCACGCACTATTGCAGCAGCACCAAGAGGGAAGTCTGCCCCCAAGATCCAGTCACCTTCTACCACGCCCCAGTTCCAACATTGGGGATTACAATTTGACAGGAGATTTGGGTGGGGACACAGATCCAAACCATATCAGGAAGAAAGGAGTAAGCAAGATGAATGCAGAGAAAGTGGAACAGAGCATGTAAGAAGAGCCAGTGTTATAGAACAATAGGAGGAAGTAGGCTTAAAAAAACTAAAATGTAGAGAAATAGGAAATTAATAATTGTTTTACAGATGCCAAAGAGGCAAAGTTTAAAACTAGGAGTTGCTGGATATCAAAAGCTACAAAAAAGGCTGCAGAGAATGACACGAGGAAATTGCGTGACTGTATCAGTCATTAGGGAGTTATCAGTTTTATATGAAATCTGTAATTCTTATCACAACATAAGATCATAAAGCAGAAATGGTAAAATCACAAACGTAACATCTATAGAATTACCATAAGCCTGGAGTTCCTATCTTTATATTTAAATGTATAATTGAGCTTAATGATAGATGAAATTTGAACATGCAACCTCAGTGAATACAGAATGTTATTGATCTGATTAAAGTTTAAAAACCTGTCACCATGATGTAGAGATTTCCATTAAATGTAAGACCCCCAGAAATGATGTAGAAATGCAAATGATACAGAGCGCATGATTCTTGAACGATGTTGTCTTTTTTAAAAATATATTTCTTTTAAAATTCATCCCCTGAGGTGCTCACTGGTATAATTTTTTTTTTTTTTTTTTTTTTGAGACGGAGTCTGGCTGTCTCCCAGGCTGGAGTGCAGTGACGCAATCTCGGCTCACTGCAAGCTCCAACTCCCGGGTTCACGCCATTCTCCTGACTCAGCCTCCCGAGTAGCTGGCAGGTGCCCGCCACCATGCCCGGATAATTTTTTGTATTTTTAGTAGAGACGGGGTTTCACCGTGTTAGCCGGGATGGTCTCAATCTTCTGATCTCGTGATCCACCCGCCTCGGTCTCCCAAAGTGCTGGGATTACAGGCGTGAGCCACCGCGCCGGGCCTACCTTTTTTAAATTTTTATTTATTTATTTATTTATTTATTTATTTATTTATTTATTTATTTTTAAAGTAAAAACAAAGGGGGGGTTCTGTGTCTTTTTTTTGTTCTTTTTTTGACAGAGTTTTGCTCTTTATTGCCCAGGATGGAGTGCAGTGGCAGAATCTCAGCTTACTGCAAATTCCGCCTCCCAGGTTCTAGCGATTCTCCTGTCTCAGCCTCCCGAGTACGTGGGATTACAAGCGCCCACCAACACGCCCAGCTAATTTTTTTTTTGGTATTTTTAATAGAGACGGGGTTTCACCACGTTGACCAGGCTGGTCTTGAACTCCTGACTTCAGGTGATCCGCCCACCCTGGCCTCCCAAAGTGCTAGGATTCCAGGCATGAGCCACCGCGCCCAGCCAGTTCTGTGTCTTAAATGCAGAATTTCCGTCATGCTAAAGTATTTTTTCCCAAACCTATTTCAGCATCACAACCTTTTCGTTGAATATCAATAGAGCAAAGACTTTGGAGAACATCCTTCTAGAAGATAAGCAGGAGTAGAAGTAATCTAGTGGCCAGTTTACCAGTAAAATCCATGATGGCAGGGAAAAAAGAAAATACGTAGGGGAGGAATCCTTGGAAAACTTCTGTTCTCCATTCACCTAACATTAAATAAATAAATATGCCCAAGAACTTCAGTTTCATTAAAGAGTTATTGTCAGTGTAGCTGATTTGTCTGAGAGAAATTTAAGTGAGAGTCAAGTGTAATAATTGTAGAAATACAATTTCACAGGAAACAATGAAAAGCTTTGGTTTGCTTTTGTATCCTCCCAGGCTAACAAGACATACTCAGGATTTTTTTAAGTGGATAATAACCTACAAAGTTTGCCCATTTTTCTTAATGATATCTTTCCTTTCGTATGATTAAAAAGATATGGATTCCGTGCCTGTTTGCAAGTGAGAACAAGATCATTTAAATTAACCTCAATAATTAGAAATATTTTGGTAAAAATCCTCCTCAAATTATCACTATAGTAATAACAACTTCAAAATGTATTGCTTCACATAAATTTCTACAAAAAAAAAAATCCTGGATTTTAGTGTATGGCCAGAAATTACAAATATCTTTGAAAAAGTACTTATTTGAACTGAGTTTATTTGGTTTTTTTAGAGGCAATTCATTCTGTCAACACTTATTGAATCATAATACATATAAAGAAATATATAATCCTGTGCACTTTTCTAGAAGTAGAAACCAATAAAAACTTATTAAATTACATTTATTTTATTGTAATTATGTCATTTAGGTCAAAACTTACACCTTCTAGGCCAAAGCTGAATTTAAATATATGAACATAGAATTATTTTATTTATTCAGACTGAAAATCTTTGGTAAGCAGTAAAGTAGGCCCTCAGATGTGAAGAAGAAAAGGCTTCTATGCCCATGGAGCTTCTGTACTATTAGGAGTTAGCAGCAATTTCCAAATAGGGTGGTAGGTAAGAGATGGGGACAAGCACTTTCAATATCTGTAAATTGTTAATTTTTAAATGAAAAGTAATTAGTTAGCTGCAGCTGTGTATTTTTTATAATTAACTGCATCTATGTATTTTGTAAGAAAGTTCTCAACCATTGGAGTATTATGAGGAGCAAAAAAACACAGGAAAGATCCTTGCTTACGTTTAAGTATAGGTCATTTGCCAAAATATGCATGTGCATGAGTGAAGTAGCATAATGCTAGCTGCTATGACAAATAAAGACCAATCACCAATCCTTACTGGTTTCATACAAAAAAAAAAGAGTTTTCTTGCTGACATAATAATCCCACGTGAGCATTTCTGATTGACAGGTGGGCTTCCATGCGGTTAATCACAGCCTCCAAGACCTCCCTGGTTGTGGGACTTTCTTGCTGTAAGGCCTGTGCATCCTCTACATCCTTCAGTTGGTAGATTGGGGAATGACACATGAAAGGAAGCAAAAATTATCTCCTCTCTCATTCCACTGGTGAGAATCATATTCCTTCCTGTAAGCAAGGAAGGATGAGAAAGATGATCCCTGACTCTAGATTAAGAACAATGACCAGCCTGGGCAACATGGGAAACCTTGTCTCTATAAAAATAAAAAAAATGCAGAATACTACTTAGGAATTAATACCTGGAGAAGATTTGGGTGAAGAAAGAAGTTAAAAGATGATTTAGTCTCAACAACAAGCCCTTGGACAATTCCATCTGGAGTTTATAAAACAATTAAGACTATATATGATCCACATTGGGCCAAAGTACCCCTTCAGGGATCAGGCACTGGGTGTGGACCACCCTAGAAAGGGCGTGTTCTTCCCCAAGGCTGATCTCTGCAGCTGGGGCAAAGCCTGAACAAGGTGGCATCTGGTAGACAGCTGACCCACTGCCAGCAGGTGTGGCACCAAACCTTTCCTTAAAGGAGGAATTGGAGAATGCAGGTCCATGCCCTCCATGTCTTCCTTTTCTTGAATTTATCACCAGTACTGAGACTATGTTCAAGAATATCTTTGTTTTCATGAAATGTACACAAAGACACAAGCATTCAGGGTAGGTTTGTAGTTATTTTAAAGCAAGTGGTTAAATTTTAAAAATTACAACTTAATGGCAATTGTCATTGTCAGGCTTACGCAAAACAGATGTAGCCTGAGATTTTCTTCCATGTGCTGTATTCTGTGGTTTCATTTTCAAGTGAGGAAAATGTTTTGAAGGAGAAGAAGAGATGAAAAGCCTCCATTATATTCCATTGCATTAAATAAATTATGAAGGATTATATACATGAGTCTATAATATTTAGTATGCAAGGATTAATAACATCTTCAAAAAATTAAAGTGTGACAGGATAACAGCATATATGTGGATAAACTACAAAACAGTAAGACACAAAGACACATCAGCCTCAGAAGGGCAAGAAGTCTCGTGAAAGATAGCTGGGAGAGGTGCCATTTGCATTAGGACTGTGAGAATACCAGTGGAGAGAGCAGCTGCTTATAGAATAAATACATTTTGCACGCACACACACACACACACACGATGGAAAAGAAAACTCACAATTTTATATTCTACAAACTCAAATTACTGTATCTGTAAATACATAGTAAAATGTGTGTATGTATCTTAAGAAAAACATCTATGTCAAATACATATTCTTAAAAGTACTTTGGCATGATTATAGAAGCAAATGTGACTTTTTTATTGACCTATAAAATGAATACATTATTTATGGATAAATTTTGCAACTAAAAATATAAAACAAACATTTTCTGAGTTTGCTAGTTAAGACAACCAAACAAACTAACTAAATAAATGAAGCAATCAACAGCCTCTTTCTTCCCAACCAAAGTAAGAAAGCTGAAAGAAAGCACTCATTTGGGGAGAGAAGTTTAATTCCTATTTGCCATCAATGCTTTCCATTGTCACTGCTACCATTTCTTTTGTAGGAATAGTTCTGGACTGTGTTGACAGTAGCAGGGCCTAAATAGAACAGAGAATTTCTAACAGGCTTTGTCACAGTCAATAAAGAACCCACAAGAATTTGGTTTCTTGATCTCATGTATTTTTTTCTTCAACTGTAAAGGAAATTAAGTGGACTGTCTATTCCATTTCCCTCTTGGGTACAGGTTGCAATAATATTTGTGTTTCATAAAAGGCTTTCTATCTTTCATAAGGACATAGTATCTAATTTATCAAACAATGTATTTTGCAAGTCTCAGCTGAAACATATATCAAAGAATGAACAGGTTTGGAATAAAATAAAATGGCACAAAAGGAGAAAAAGCAGAGCAATCCGGAGAGAAAAACACAGAAAGGAAATATTTTTCCCAGTTATATATGTTGCTCATCTCCCTTATATAAACATCCATAGCACCCTAGTGTTTTCATCTTATCTCATATCCACTGTAGATAAAATTCAGCTGAGGGCAATAATAATTGATCTTTTCTTTTCACTAGGTATGTAATCGAAAATACTGACAACTTCTTGGTTACTATCACTGTAAAAATATATGATGATAGACCAGATCATAGAAAATATATGACTTCTGCATTCTAGGATATCTCCTCGAAAAGTAACTAATCTTCCATATCATTAAATAGCCAACATTCAGTGTGAACACCCATTAGCATGAAACATACAAGACAGTGAAATATTCTAACATCGTTTGTATTTGACCCTACAATGCATTCATGAAATTATTTTACTTGGGGAAATAATTTTTTAAAACTAATTGTTTCACTTATCTTTGTGTTCTTATTATCTTCTCTGAGTTTCCCTTCCCATGCTGAGAAGTTGTGTGAGGCAATAGGAGTGGGGAATATTGGGGGAAGCTGTAGTTCTTGTGTGGGTCTGTATATGTGCGTGTGAAAAAATCCAAAACATCTGACAGTCACTGGGCCTCTGGAAAGGGAGAGATACCCTTAAGTAATATTTCCTTCCAGTAAAGTGTAATTATACAATGTGGAGACTAAATGTATCACAATCACATAGATGGGATATATATATATATATATGTGTGTGTGTGTGTGTGTGTGTACATACATATATACACACATATATATGTGCGTGTATGTGTGTATATACATATATATGTGTATGTATACATACACATATATATGTATATACACACATACACGCACATATATACAAAGCTTTAGTTCAATAAAGAATTTTTTAAAAATCTGAATCTTCAGCCTATGAACTGGCATCCTTCTTTTCCAAATTAGCCCAATACTTATTATTGGCTCATTGGTTTTTATTTTTGAAATTTATTCTTCATGTGGATTCTCAGTGAGCAATAATGAACAATGAAAAAGGCATAGAGCTTTCTTTTTTATTTACTTTTTAAATTTTCTATTAAAGTTCTGGGGTACATGTGCAGAACATGCAATTTTGTTACATGGGTATATACACATGCCATGGTGGTTTGCTGCACCCATCAACCCATCACCTACATTAGGTATTTCCCCTAATGCTATCCCTCCCCTAGCTCCCCACACTCCGATGGGCCCCAATGTGTGATGGTCTCCTCCCCGTATCCATTTGTTCTCATTGTTCAACTCCCACTTATGAGTGAGAACATGTGGTGTTTGGTTGTCTGTTCTTGTGTTAGTTTGCCTAGAATGATGGTCTCCAGCTTCATCCATGTCCCTGCAAAGGACATGAACTCATCCTTTTTTATGGCTGCGTAGTATTCCATGGTGTACATGTGCCACATTTTCTTTATCCAGTCTATCATTGATGGACATATGAGTTGGTTCCAAGTCTTGGCTATTGCGAATAGTGCCACAGTAAACATACATGTGGATGTGTCTTTTTAGTAGAATGATTTATAATCCTTTGGGTATTTACCCATTAATGGGATAGCTGGGTAAAATGGTATTTCTAGTTCTAGATCCTTGAGGAATCACCACACTGTCTTCCACAATGGTTGAACTAATTTACACTCCCACCAACAATGTAAAGGCATTCCTATTTCTCCACATCCTCTCCAGCATCTGCTGTTTCCTGACTTTTTAATGATTGTCATTCTAACTGACGTGAGATGGTATCTCATTGTGGTTTTGATTTGCATTTCTCTAATGACCAGTGATGATTAGTTTTTTTTCATATGTTTGTTGGCTGCACAAATGTCTTCTTTTGAGAAATACCTGTTCATATCATTTGCCCACTTTTTGATGGGGTTGTTTTTTTTTGTAAATTGTTTTAAGTTCTTTGTAGATTCTGGATATTAATCCTTTGTCAGATGGATAGATTGCAAAAATCTTCTCCCATTCTGTAGGTTGCCTGTTCACTCTGATGATAGTTTCTTTTGCTGTGCAGAAGCTCTTTAGTTTAATTAGATCCCATTTGTCAATCTTGGCTTTTGTTGCCATTGCTTTTGGTGTTTTAGACATGAAGTCTTTGCCAATGCCAATGTCCTGAATGGTATTGCCTAGGTTTTCTTCAAGGCTTTTTATGGTTTTAGGTCTAACATTTAAGTCTTTAATCCATCTTGAATTAATTTTTGTAAAAGGTTTAAGGAAGGGGTCCAGTTTCAGTTTCCTGCATATGGCTAGCCAGTTTTCTCAACACCATTTAGTAAATAGGGAATCCTTTCCCCATTGCTTGTTTTTGTCAGGTTTGTCAAAGATCAGATGGATGCAGATGTTTGGTGTTATTTCTGAGGCCTCTGTTCTGTTCCATTGGTCTATATATCTGTTTTGGTACCAGTACCATGCTGCTTTGGTTACTGTAGCCTTGTAGTATAGTTTGAAGTCAGGTAGTGTGATGCCTCCAGCTTTGTTCTTTTTGCTTAGGATTGTCTTGGCTATATGGGCTCTTTTTTGGTTCCTTATGAACTTTAAAGTAGTTTTTTCCAATTCTGTGAATAAACTCAATGGTAGCTTGATGGGAATAGCATTGAATCTATAAATTACTTTGGGCAGTATGGCCATTTTCACGATATTGAGTCTTCCTATCCATGAGCATGGAATGTTTCTCCATTTGTTTGTGTCCTCTCTTATTTCCTTGAGCAGTGGTTTGTACTTCTCCCTGAAGAGGTCTTTCACATCCCTTGTAAGTTATATTCATAGGTATTTTATTATCTTAGTAGCAACTGTGAATGGGAGTTCACTCATGATTTGGCTCTCTGATTGTCTGTTATTGGTGTATAGGAATGCTTGTGATTTTCGCACATTGATTTTGTATACTGAGACTTTGCTGAAGTTGCTTATCAGCTTAGGGAGATTTTGGGCTGAGATGGTGGGGTTTTCTAAATATACAACCACGTCATCTGCAAACAGCGACAATTTGACTTCCTCTTTTTCTGTTTGAATACACTTTATTTCTTTCTCTTGCCTGATTGCCCTCGTCAGAACTTCCAACACTATGTTGAATAGGAGTGGTGAGGGAGGGCATCCTTGTCTTGTGCCAGTTTTCAAAGGGAATGCTTCCAGCTTTTGTCCATTCAGTATGATATTGGCTGTTGGTTTGTCATAAATAGCTCTTATTATTTTGAGATACTTTCCATCGAAACCTAGTTTATTGAGAGTTTTTAGCATGAAGGGGTGCTGAATTTTGTTGAAGGCCTTTTCTGCATCTATTGAGATAATCATGTGGTTTTTGTCATTGGTTCTGTTTATATAATGGATTAGGTTTATTGATTTGCATTTGTAGAACCAGCTTTGCATCCCAGGGATGAAGCTGACTTGATCATGGTGGATAAGCCTTTTGATGTGCTGCTGGACGCAGTTTGCCAGTATTTAATTGAGGATTTTTGCATCGATTTTCATCAGGAATATTGGCCTGAAATTATTTTTTTTGTTGTGTCTCTGCCAGGTTTTTGTATCAGGATGATGGTGGCCTCATAAAATGAGTTAAGGAGGATTCCTTCTTTTTATATGGTTTGGAATAGTTTCAGAAGGAATGGTACCAGCTCTTCTTTGTACCTCTGATGGAATTCAGCTATGAATCTGTCTGGTCTAGGCATTTTTTGTTGTTGTTGTTGGTAGGCTATTAATAACTGCCTCAATTTTAGAACTTGTTACTGGTATATTCAGGGATTCTACTTCTTCCTGGTTTATACTTGGGAGGTTGTATGTGTCCAGAAATTTATCCATTTCTTCTTGATTTTCTAGTCTATTTTCCCAGAGGTGTTTATAGTATTATCTGATGGTGGTTGGTATTTCTGCGGGATCAGTGGTGATATCCCCTTTATCAATTTTTATTGCGTCTGTTTATTATTCTCCCTTTTCTTCTTTATTAGTCTGGATAGCAGTCTATCAGTCTATCTATTTTGTTGATGTTTTTAAAAAACTAGCTCCTTGATTCATTGATTTTTTAAAGGGTTTTTTTGTGTCTCTCTCTCTCAGTTCTGCTCTGATCTTAGTTATTTCTTGTCTTCTGCTAGCTTTTGAATTTGTTTGCTCTTGCTTCTCTAGTTCTTTTAATTGTGATGTCAGGGTGTCAATTTTAGATCTTTCCCACTTTCTCCTGTGGGCATTTAGTGCTATAAATTTCCCTCTAAACACTCCTTTAGCTGTGACCCAGAGATTCTGGTACATGTGTCTTTGTTCTCATTGGTTTCAAAGAAATTATTTATTTCTTCCTTTATTTCATTATTTACCCAGTAGTCATTCAGGAGCAGGTTGTTCATTTTGCCTGCAGTTGTGCGGTTTTGAGTGAGTTTCTTAATCCCAAGTTCTAATTAGATTGTACTGTGGTCTGAGAGACTTTTTTTTTTTAATGATTTCTATTGTTTTGCATTTGCTGAGGAGTGTTTTACTTCCAATCATGTGGTCAGTTTTAGAATAAGTATAATGAGGTGCTGAAAAGAATGTGTATTCTGTTGATTTGGGGTGGAGAGTTCTGTAGATGTCTATTAGGTCTGCTTTGTCCAGAGCTGAGTTCACGTCCTGAATGTCCTTGTTAATTTTCTGTCTCATTGATCTCTCTAATATTGACAGTGGGGTGAAAGTCTCCCACTATTATTGTATGGGAGTCTAAGTCTCTTTGTAGGTCTCTAAGAACTTGCTTTATGAATCTGGGTGCTCCTGTATTGGGTGCATATATATTTAGGATAGTTAGCTCTTCTTTTTGCATTGATCCCTTTACCATTATGTAATGCATTTTTTGTCCTTTTGATCTTTGTTGGTTTTCATTTCCAACAGAAGAAAATGTAGAGATGTGTTCAGCAAAACATATTGGCATTAATAAATTTGGCACACATGAATTGAACTCCTACTGTGAAAGATACTATGCTGGATGATGGGAATATAGAGTTGAGTCTGACATGCCTCTGAAAACCAGTAGGTGTTCCAAGACAGAGACATGAGTTAACAGAAGGCAGAAAACATTCACTGCAACAGGATGATGATGTTTAGGAGGAAGAAGAGGAGAATGAATGTTTATATAGTACATAGCACACAGCAGGCAACATCATCTCTACTTTCCTTGCAATCACTTATTTAATTCTCACAACACTAGGAGATCTGTAGTACTATTACCCATTTTTCAGAGTAGGAAATAGTGCCTTGGAGATATTGAACTGTTCCCTCAAGTTCACACAGCTACTCAGTCAAGCCAGCAATCAGCCTTTGGTCTGTCTGACTCTGATTCCTAAAATGCATATAGTCATATTGTAGGTATTTAGCAACTTAATGAATGAAGAAAGATGGTGATATATAGCACGTAGACTAAGGAGGACTTGAGTCATAGACTAAGTTACTTGGAGGATTGAAAATGAAGAAGAGTATACATGATTCTAATTATTTGAACAGGGATAGAAGGATGCATATAGAAGAGAAAGGGAAGAAGCAAAAATGATTCCAATTTTGGAAAAATCTTAGTTTTGGAAAATTAGATGCTGTGATGCTACAAACAGAAAAATGACCACGAAAGAGGAGAAAGATTAGTAGAGAATATGGCTTTTGTTTTTAATCAATTAACTTTGAGGTTTAAATGAAGTGGACATTAAGTCATAAAGGTCATTGTTAAAAAAATTCTTTATTACTAGAAATATCTAATATCAATTTACTCAATGACATTTGAAAAAAAAATGAAATACATAGGGAAATATCAGAAAAGGAATCTCACTAAACTCTGCCTGTACTCCTTATCTCCTCAGTATGTCTGGCTAGCAAATGAGAACATTTTCAAAATATATTACACTATAAATAATCTGCTCTCTGTGTTTTAACCAGCCTCTTTAAAAAATTGTTATTATTTCTAGAGAACACTTCAGTGTCATTATTTCAGATAATGTAAATGTCAGAAATCATTATCAGGTGTGAAGTTATTGCCTTCTCTTTTTTTTATTAAGCAAATTTTAAAATAATAAAATTTTCTGTGATTTGTAATATCAACATTTATAGAATTTCTCAAGAAAACATTTATGATTTATTATTATTTATAGCGAAGTAAGCAAAAATTGCTTCTGGTTGTGTTTTGTGGGCTGCAGTATTGTATTTGACTGCAAATGGAGAGCTATAAATTTAGCTGGTTTAGAAAAATTTAACTAAGTAGTTGTTTGTATATTCAGCCATATTAGTTATTAACAGATGAGAAAATATAATGTTGATTTTATACTTTGGAAGTACGCCCTAGTTACCTGAATTGTCTTTTCTTCAATTACATAATTAGAATTGCATCAATTAATTAAACAAGGCTATGTCCAATCTCGCTAAGATAATTTTGCACACTGTTTTTTCTGGAACATTTCTATCCTAACAATAACATAGCTGAAACACTGGTCTCCCAAGTTAAATTAAGAGAGTCTCTCCCTTATGCTTTTCTAGTTATAAAGCAAAGTCTTTGCCTGTCACCGAACCATACTGGGCAACATTACTTTGCAGAAGTGGAAGGAAGAAGCTGAGACTCCCATTCCAGCGTGTGGTCCATGTGACGCTTTGTGGTTTCCCTTTATAAAGCACAGCCTTGTTAATACTGTTGATCCTCCAAGTAAGAACTTTGCAAACTGGGTTTTAGTTGACACGAGTTTTATAGGACCTATTTATAGGAGTCAGCATCTATAGTTATGTAGAATACAGTCATGCATAGTTTAATGATGGGGGGTGCATTCTGAGAAACGTGTCCTTAGGCAATTTCCTGGTTGTATGAACATCACAGAGTGTACTTACCTTGATGATGCAGCTATTGCACACCTAGGCTATATGGTAGGATCTGCTGCTCCTGGGCTACAAACCTGCACGCATGTGACTGTACTGAATACTATAAGCAATTGTAACGCAATGATAAGGGTTTGTGTGTCTAAATATATCTAAACATAGAAAAAGTACAGTAAAAATGGGTTGTTACAATCTTGTAGGACCATGGTCTTTATACGTGGTCTGTCATTGACCAAAACATTCTCATGCAGCACACGACTGTATGTAACTAAGTTATAGTCTTTAGCTGATTTCGATATTTCTGAAAAAATAAAAGTTCATATTATCTTACAGGTCCTTGTTAACGTTGCTACCTTCCTCTTCCAGCTTAGTAGAATCTGACATGGTTCCTTCTTGAAAGTCACTTGAGAAATCTCACTTGTTCAGGGGCTCTTATATGGTAGTATAATCAATTGGCTTTCTGTTATTGTCATTTTGATAGTAAAAGCATTAATTATTTCATGACTGAAGCCATGTTACTATATTAAGAACATTGTTATATATATGGCAATGATTAAACAAATAATTATGGAATGGTTTAAAAATGTGTGTGAAAATAAGACTGCACCAGGGTCCATCCATTTGCATTTCTTTACAAGAAGACCCTATTTTCTTTTTTGTTGTTGTTTTTTTAGGTAATTTTTTTAGTGACAGGGTTTCACTGTCGCCCAGGCTGAAGTGCAGCAGTGACTGCAGTGTAGGTTGAACACAACAGCCTCAACCTCCTGGGCTCCAGGGATTCTCCCACCTCAGCCTTCTGAGCAGTCACCCCATTTTCTGACTGCCATCTTCTTTGACTACTGCCATGCTAAGGAAGTAACCCCTCTCCTCAGAGAACAATCGTTTTGTCCCAGCTCTACCACCCTGAGTTCAAGCCTCCTTTACCTCTAGATGTAATTTTGATGTGTGATGGGAGAATAGGGCAGGTAAACTTACTCGTTTAGACCAAAAACATCTTCAAACGTCTATTTATAAGTTTAGTTTTGAGTTTCCCCTTCTCCCACTGGACAGCCTATCAGAACCCAACAATTCAACAATAATGCATTTTCTGGAGTACAGATTATTCAATGTTGCATAACATTCTTTATGAGGATGTCACACAGTAGGTCAGGGAACCTAAATTTCTTATCTGGAAACTTTAAGTTTCTACCTCAGCATAAGGTAAAGACATGTCCCCCACCTTTCAGTCAATACTCAAAAACTGATATTCCTGATCTCACAGCAGCAAATGTCTGGGAAACAGGATACACACAGATATACACTTATCTTATGAGAACAAGCACATTTTTTTAGAATCATTAGATTTACAATTTTTACTGTGTATTTAAGAATATTTTAATTTCTTAATGTCGTAAAGCAAGTGATCCCATTTTTGCTTTAACTTTGCATAACCAAAGGGCCCAATATAATTTTATACACACACACATACACATATGTATACATATGTAAAATATATATGTATATATGTATATGCATATACATATACATATATACATATATACATACATATATGTATATAATATATACATGTACATATGTGCATTTGTATATAATATATACATATATGCATATCTACATATACATATATAATATATACACACATATACACACGTGTATGCATTTTACATATGAATATATGTATATACATGCATATACATTCATATACGTATATGTATTTATATATACATACATATATGCATACATATAAACATGCATATATATACACAAATAAAAAAATATAAATAAAATAGCTATAAAATACACATATAATACATATTACATGTATTCTTTTACATATATATAATTCTATATATATAAAAGTTTCCTCTCAAAGAAGAATTTAAGTCTGCCCTAAGGAAAAGCTGGGTGGTATGGGAAGGGAGGGAGAAATGAAACTTTTCTCAACATTTCTCTGATTTCTGTCTTAACTCCTTGAGTGCTTATTATCTCTTTATCATTCGTTTAGTCATTGTGGTGTTTACCTGTGAATGTATCTGTATTGTTATTTAAGCATTTTGTATTTCGTTTTGGAAAGGTAGCAAAAACAAAGAGTTAGCATTTGCGGTCATATGTACTTAACTTCAAATCCCAAAGTAGCTAACGATTATCTGGAAAACATGAGGCAAAAATACCTACTTTCATTCCTGCAGTTTATCATGTACTAAGGGGATGAGCAGCATCTACTTCTTACGACTGATGTGAATTAAAAGCAAGGTACATAAATCACACAGCCAATGCCTGGTAAATAGTGGCATTTAGTAAATGGTGACTATAGTAGTTATTGGGGATGTTATTATGATTACCATATTTCTCATTATGCAAATAATTCTCTTTGAGGACTAAGCTTGTCTTATATTTAGTTTATGTCCTCTACAACACTGTAATACTACCAGCCACGTGCTAAGACATGAATGAATACATGAATAAAATATTTTCAGAAATTCTTCATAAATCTACGTTAGCAGGTGAGTAACTGCAAGGTGAATATCTCATTTTATTGTAAGTGATTTTTCAATACCGGTCATCATTAGGATCAGGTCCCCCTGGGGCCTCTCACTACTGACCATGGCCCCTCTAGCTAGTGGCACTTTTAAGAGTCTTTTGCTTTATGATATTGTTATATCTTCCTGGGAAATTTGATATGCCAGAATTTCTAAAGTAGTCATCACTTATTTAGGTTATTTCATACCCAGTTTTGATTACACAATAACTCCTAATGTACTTAATAGTTTTATGTACCCAGATAATGAGAGCAGTGTATTCATTATGATTTCTGGGGAATAGTTTCATTAGAGAATTGAGAAATTATTGCTTTTACCCAGTCACTGCTCTACCAAAAATAATTGCATTTCTCCACTTATCTTCACATCTCCATGAAGTTTTCTATTATGTTTTAAAGTGAATGAAATGTGGCATCACACCAAGATATTCATCATGGTGTTCTTAATTGCCAGCCATCTGGAAATAGTTCAGATTTTACACCTGCTTGCCTATAGTTTTGAAAATGTCTGTAAAAAGTTATTTTGGAAAATGTGGCAAAGACACACTTTCACACTTGTGCATCCAGTTTTAGGCCCCTCTACAATTATTTGATCTATGAAGAAAGCACACTATCAGGATTTTAGAGACCTGCAGTGTTATGTGAACGTGAACATGTGTGGCTGGCCAAGTTCCCCAGAAAGCAAACACTGAGCCAGAGATTAGTGGGTAGGAAGCCTCGTCTAGTCCTTCCCTCATGGGGGAAGGCAAGGAAGCAGGACGGGACAGAGAAATAAATTAGGCAGTGATGCAGTTAAAGAAAAGCCTCACCTGATGTCAAGTCCCTTCAAAGTTGGGATGGACCTTCAAAGTTGTCTTAAATTGGGGTCATGAGGGGTTAGGCCTCTATACTTCCTCACTGGCCAGTCATTAGATGTAGTTGTCCCTGGAACAGAGATGTGTCCTGGACTATGGCAGCTCTCTTCACCTGAGAGCAATTTTATGAGAAGGCTGATGGGTCAAATGCATTATACTGGCCAGGTGCGGTGGCTCATGCCTGTAATTCCAGCAATTGGGAGGTCGAGGCGGGAGGATCATTTGAGCCCAGGAGTTTGAGATCAGCCTGGGCAACACAGTGAGACCTCCATCTCTATAAAAATGAAAAAATTAGCTGGCCGTGGTGGCACACACCTGTAGTCCTAGCTCCTCGAGAGGCTGCCCAGGAGGTTGAGGCTACAGTGAGCTGTAGTAATGACACCACACTCCAGCATGAGTGACAGAGAAAGAGCTTACCTAAAAAACAAAGAAACAAAAAAAAAACAAAAACAAAGGCATCATACCCAATAGCTGGGGGATTAAGTCCTTCCATCCTGAGCAGGAATCCAGATGGTACAGCATTCCCTACAATACTACTTAGTCTAGATTCCACAAGGTGTGTGGATACATGGGATGCAGCTTTAAACATCCTGATTAATCTGTCTACAGTTAGTAAAAAGAAGAAAGACATTTTGAAGCTTTTCTATACTGTTGATCATCTGATCACTTAGTGAAGCTTTTAGGACTCTTTTAGAAAAGAATATTTTAACTACAAAAATCATATTCAGGTTCTTTACATATTATTGGATGATCTCTAATTCCTTTTCTCAAATCATTCAGGTTTCGGTCACTCGTAAATTTGATTAGACAACATTTCAGTGTTTAAATAGAGTACTTCGCTGAATATTTAATGGATTCAATATTGATTTTCGAGGAGAAGCATCAGCTCTTTTTTCTGGTACTTCTGCAGCTTATTTCTGTGACCAGAAGATTAGTAAGGTTTTAAATTTTCATATTTTAAGACCTATTTCGTCTCCTATATCAATTGTCTGTCAGTAAACAGCATGTACTTTCTAGTTCTCTCAAAATTGTGTTCTCTGTTATGTATCTATTGCTATGAAGCAAACAAGAGTATTGCTGGTTTCAAAGGAAATCAAGTTTACTAAATTTTGGACAAATTTCATCAACATTAATCAGCTTAGAAGATTTAGGAATTTTTTTAATAACTGTCAAACTAGCGTTCAGCTGGAAAGAGTGAGGTGTTTAGAAGACATTGCTGACTCCTCATGGTTACAGGGCAAGGGAACGCTGTTGGCATTCGTTCATTGCCTCTTGTGGCATTGCAGAACAAGTCAAGGCAGTGAATGAAAATAAATATACTAAGTAAGAACAGGAGGCATGGGGATCTTTTACATTAATGTAAGTGGTTTTAAAGAAACCATTTGGTAAAATAGACTAATAAAACCTAATTTGTATAATAAAATATACATGGAAAAGAAAAATAGGACTCTTTCTTGAATATTCTTCAGTTGTTTCAGAACTATCCTCTTTTAAATGAAACAAAATTATTTCCCTTTCATCACAGCCTAAAAGGCTTTAAAATTATAAAGAATATTGCAGCTGACTGAATCGTTATCCTAATGGGATATTCATCAAAAGTCTATGATGATTCACAATGAGAGGCTTTTATAACTGAAATCCAAATGTTATGTACAATGGCAATCTGAATGCATGTGTTCTTTTCTCCAGAATTGGCTTGAAAACATAGAAGTCTTACTTTGATTAAAAAGAGTGTTACTATGGGCATGAGAAATGATTGGAGTACTCTAAATATACTGCATGGTAAGCTGAGTCTGACTCTGATTTGACTGGCACTTGGGATATTCTCATCCTTCCTCCCCACTCGCCAAGTGCAGACTAATCAAATCTATGTCCATTTCTGCTCTCTCTTTGTTAACATTTTAAGTTAGAGACTGAAGAAGTAATCCAAGAATCAGCTGGATTTAGCCTTTCAAATCATTTTTAAGTATATTATTTGTAAACACCTGAAGTCACCTGGCATTAATGGCAAGTTACATTTTCTAAAACTTTCTAATGCTTTTTCCCAGATACTCTCCTGACAAGTGCTACTGAAAGTAGCTTCCCAAAAGAAATCACAATGTCATTTTTTGACTCTATCCAGGCATAACTGGGTGAACTAAAGTAAAGATTGGACTGTCAAAGCAGTCTCACACAAATCAAATATTACCCAATATCAAGCTTATAATTAATTATAATTTCAAGGAAACAATTGGTCAATATGATAAACAGGGAGAGGTCTGGGGCTGCACATTTGAATATTTTATTACTTCTTAGATTCTCCAGAGAATAACAAATTGAGTTGAAATGTTGGAGCACAGCTTAAACCAATTAATTTTATCTTTACTATTTATTCTATCTGGCCTAGGACAAAGTTTGCTAAGAAGATGGAATTTTCAGACAAAATTAAAATATGATTTTATTTGTACTTTTAAATTTTCCTCCTCTTTCTTTTCCCTTTTCTTCGGATACTTGACTGTTGATTGTTCCTTAAGCTTGTAGCATATAAAAAGTCATGCTAATTCATAGATCACCTCTTTTAATATGAACATAGCAATGTGTTAATATTCTCTGTGTCACAGATTTCTTTTAATATTAGACATTTTAAATCTTGCTTTAATCTTTTCAGAATATTTCATTGCTAATGTAGCTTATCTTATGTATATTGTCATAGTCAATGAAAGATCCTGGAGTTCCATAAATATTTGCGGTATAATTCTTGGAGATAAAAAGCCTTGTTCTAATGAAGAGTTAACAATTGTTTGAAAACTTCCAAGAAAACAAAGTTTCCACTCAGAAGTAAAGTGACAATGAATGACACTACTTTCTTTAAAAAAATATTTCAAATGTAGATTTTTATGAACTTAATCACAAAATAAATAGGTGATTCTATCTGTATTTCTCTATATGACATCAGCAGCTAGTTTACTTAGTAGAGGTACTTTTGCAAACTTTTAAGTGGTTTTTTTATGTAGTAATAGTTATAAATCAAGTAGTTTATTATCATTTTTCATTTCACCTCTATAATGTTGCTACCAAATCATTAAGTAAAATTTTAATAATGTTTGGTGCAAAAAATAATTCAATTCAAATGCAACTTCCTAGGACTCTATTAGCTAAACAGTACCAAAAATAGTAAAATCTCCTTTCATCTCATAAAGGAAGATTCTCAGAGGATGTTGTCAGGTTGAATAAGAAGTAGACACTTTTATTTGGCAATTTTTTGAAAATAATTACAGTTTTTAATGTTCCCAAAACAGAATATTAATCAGTTGTGGATTAAAATGACCAAACCTGAGACCTATGTACAAATATTTCACATCTGTTTGCAGATTCTAATGATGACAATTCATAGCATGTTGACTGAAAATGCAGCTTCGGGGACTCTGTACTTAGTCATAAACATGAATTATATCAATCTGGACCGTGTGCCCGGGGAGCCAGTGAAGCAAACAAAACTGAGCAAAGAAATTCCTAAGAAAAGCTAAAGACACTGATATAATTAAAGATGTACCAAATTAACTGGCAAAGCCTTCACTAAAGATTTACATAATCTAATTCCATGATGTTAGATAGCTGAACAAAAACATGATGAATTTGGTTGTGAAGATATGACTAAATGATAGTATTGAAATGAATTCTCATATTAACTCAAATATGTATAGACACACATCCATGGAGTCAGTGCTCAGCTTTCTTGTCTGGAAATCCAGATTGTTGTTTTGAGTTTTTTTGAGATAGTCTTGCTCTGTCACCGAGGCTGGAGTGCAGTGGTACGATCTCTGCTCACTGCACCTCCACCTCCTGGGCTCAAGCACTTCTCCGACCTCAGCCTCTCAAGTAGTGAACTAGAGGCATGCACCATCACGCCCAGATAATTTTTTTTTCTTTTTTTTTTTTCTGCCTAGATGGGGTTTCACCATGTTGCCCAGGCTGGTTTGGAACTCCTGGGCTCAAGTGATCTGCCCACCTTGGCCTCTCAAAGTGCTGGAATTTCAGGCACGAGTCATTGCACTCAGTCATGGAAATCCAGATTTCTGATTTCAAGAGCTACCTGTTTTACCAACCCCGTTATGACTCTGATTTTGTTCTTCCTCTCTTGTCTCAACCCCAATGTCCATTGTACCTCTGTGACTCTAAGAATTCTCAAACTTCTAATGACTGAGTTTCCGTTTTCCCGGGCATGAAGATGTACAGGCTTCCTCCTGGGACTGTGTAAGTGGCTGCAACCTGTTTCAACTATGGACATATTGTAAGAGACAGGGGCAAAAGTGAAAAGCTTGTTTTTTGCGTTTATACTCATCTGTTTTTGTGTTGATGGTTTCAAGACAGGCAGGAAATACTGATTTGTATTGACCAATGATGAGGCCTGTGTCAGCACCCGCTAACATTCAAGGGCTGCGTCAAAAGCCCCCTTTGCCCGTGGGTCATAACCACATGGGCCATAGAGTCGAGAGGCAGGCATGTTTTATATCTCCACATTTTTCAGGGTAAAATATTACAAATAAATTTCTTAGATTAAAACTGTTATCTATCTTTCCTAAAAGTGAGAATACAATGCATGAGCTTTAGGTCAAGAATAGGACATTTTCTTGAAACAAAGAAAATGAAATTCAAGCAGACATTTTTCAAAATTGTGCGAATGATCTCTTATTTGCAAAGAGCAAATAAAAGAATTCTAGTACTAACAAAAACATGTAGCCCAGCTTCCTCATTGTGTAGGGATGGAAAATGAGGCTCATAAGTGTTACATGCTTTTCCCAAGGACCTTCAGTGATTTTTGCCATTTGCCTGGTCTCGAACCTCAACGGAGAGAGTCCAACTTCAGCACATTTGCCATTATGCTATAACGGCTAGATGAAGTCAGGTCACCTGAATTCAAATACTGGCCCTACCATTTCTAACTAAATAGCCTTAAGCATGTTAACGAATATTTCTGTATCTTGATTTTCTCACCTGTAAAATGAAGATAGTAGACCATCTACATAGGATGGTTTTGATGATCAAATCAATCAATTCATGTAAAGCACTTACTTTAACACAACAAACACTCAAAATATTGGCTAATATTATAAATTACAACCACATATATAAATATATAATTGTCCCTAGATGATTATCTATGCACACTTTCTTAGAACACATTTTTTTGTAGAAATATACTTTATTTGGAAGCCAGAAATAAGGAAACTGTGTAAGACAGTTTGAGAAAATGGAAATCACAATGAATCCACATGCTTGAGTGAAAACTCTCTTAATCACATGAACTAGAGAAACCCTCTCAGAATAACACTTATTGTAAGTAGTGCAATATGAATCTGCAAGACAGTTCTTCCAAGGAATGAAACTGATGCTGGATCATGGCCAATAAGCAGCATACTTAGTGTGGTGTTTCCCCTTCCAAAGCATGTGTCCTGATGGTAATTGTAATTATTCTATCTGAACAATATAACAAGCAGGAAAATGTGTACCACATGTAATATCACACTTGATGTAAGGGGGTTTTTTGGCCTGTGTAACATTTTATGACTTAATTTTGGAAGAATATTAGAACCCTATTGTGCTACTGCAATGAAAGTGCAATTGTAGGTTTTTGCAAAATATGTACTATGTAAAAATGAGTGAATAAAAGCAATTATCAATTAAATGGGCAATTCTGTTATTTCAAAATTATATGAGATTATGGACTCATGTAATTGCCTCACTTTTTAGCTAAATTGAGAAATAATTGGGTGTTTATTAGCAATTGTTGAATGTAAGATATTGAATTATTTTCAACCTGCATAGTATGGGGAAAGGAGTATGATTCATACGCAAAAATATATTGTATTCAATTCCACTGACTTTTAATTGTGGTGTCAAGTTATTAAGCAAAAATTTTGAAAAGAGGCATATGTTATTTATGCTACAGCATTCTATCCAGTTAGAATTCTGAGTCATTATATCTTTCTATCTAAACATCAGTCATTTTCTCTCTTAAAATTTCCTTTTATAATAATTTAGCCAAGTAGATGCATTAGTTCCAGACATTAATTAAGGTTTGTGTCATAATTTTCATCAAAAGTATTTTATGCACATGTCTTCAATCTGTTCCATTTTTCTACTTATATTCTTCATTGTATAGTCTTCATGCATGATCAATTGTGTTTCTAAGACACATGGCAAGATTTGTAGCGTTACGTAGGCTATTTGATTTATTAATATTTAGACCAGTGAGACCACCGCTCAGTTCTAACAGCTTGCCTCGGTTTGTGTGAAAAGTCATGCTCTAAACTCAAATTAACTCTGTAGTTTAATCTGCCACAAAATCACCTCCTGTGAGGTATCAAATAAATGTTTTACACCATGCTGTGTGTGTGTTTTAAATACATCCTCATGAATCTGTTCAATTTACTATGTTATCTATTTAGTAGAACACTTTCTGAAGTTTTTATTCCATTTTTCAAAGTTTCATCTGGGTGTAATCCATTGTCATTGGTATGAATAAGCAGCCTAGACTCAGGGATCTGAGTAAGTTAATAGAGATCATGAATAGGACACGAGCCTGCGATATGTTAGAGATGACTCTAGAATGTGGGAACCGGCACGCCGGAAGGAAAGAAGATGTATGTAGAAGTACTCCTAGCACTAAACCCAATGTTTCAGCTTAGCCTTGTAGCATTATTAGCACAATGGAATCTTTAATATTAGCAAGCTCCAACAAAATATTTTAGAGAAATACTCAACCATAAGAAAAGATTCATTGTAACCCAGGGAAATCGTCACTGTGACCCCCCCCCCCCCCCAATATCTCTTTTACTGAAGTCCCACAGGAATCATCTTCTAGATCCCTTACAGTCACTGCAGGAGGTCTGGGTCTTCCTGTCCTGAGGCCTGTGTTGGCTCTGGTGTCACTCTCTGACACACACCCTTCTTTGCTTGGAGGCTTTCTCTTGTGTCTTGCTCGTGTTGTACATGGATCTGCTGCCTTTTTTGCTCACTCGAGTCTTCCAGGTCTTCCAGACTCCTGTCTTCTCCCTCCACAGCACTACTCTGTATTCCATACACCTCACTTCCAGAAGGTGAAGGAAGAAAATCCCTCACACACTTTTGCCTGCCCATTCTCTATCAAAAGCCATGGCCCCTAACCCCAAACCAGGTACAATCACAGAGAAGCACATTGGTATTCCTGAAGACACAGAAACACCAGGACTCACCCAGGGAGTCCGTGGTGTTCTGTTTTCCCATCTGTGCCAGAAGTTGTTCACCACACTAACTGGGGACTCAGTGCAGAAAATTAAACTCTTAAGGCAATAAATAAGAAATTTTAGATAATTATCTAATGGTACTAAGACTAATATCCTAACATTTAGTATGCACTCTGATGGAATAATGAAGCAAAATTTAGGAATGAATACAGTTACAATCTATTGAGAAAAACAAGTTGCCACATCTTAGTGGCTATTTTTCTAAGAACATCATCTCCCTCCAAAGCTAGAAAGCTGAATCTCACAAGGGCTATTATAGTAAGCAGCCATTGCTTTAGGGCTAAAATAATAATTATTTATTATTTTGTTCAAGTGTAAATGTTACTTGTCCGCCCAATCCAGGCTTGACGTGGGAGAATATAACCAAAAGGAATGGATACAGGAGGCATGAAAAATTGTAGCCATTTATTTAGTCCATCTATAAAATTGTCCTAGTGATGAAAGCATTGAGAACAAGAAAGCAAAGCATAAATATGAGAGCAGGAACCCTTTATGGGACTGAGCCCAGGCAGGACATCTAAGGACAGGAATTTAGGTCAGTCTAATCAAACTTTTCACTGCCAAAAGCTGACAAAGAATAAATTATCTATAGGTTTTATAAAAGTACACTCATTTTATTTCTAAAATTGCCTTTAACAATAGGTTTATTAACATGTGGATCAGTTTGCTTATTTCCATACACTTGCCCAAAATTATAATTTTACTTCCTTTCAATTTACAGTATTTTCTTTTGTGCCAAAGAAAAATCTAGGAGTTACTTGGTTAAGTCTGAATAATCTCCTCAGATACAAGTTTTAAAACATAAATATAGCTTTTAATCTTCTCCTAAATTTCCAAACTCTTTGTAGAACAATAAAAGTGTGATATATGGCCCAACTAGCTTACAAACATTGCCACATGCCATTTTTGAAGCACAGTTCTCAATGTTATTATTTTTTTTTATTTTTATTTTTTGAGATGGAATCTTGCTCTGTCGCCCAGGCTGGAGCGCAGTGATGCAGCCTCAGCTCACTACAACCTCTGCCTCCTGGGTTTCAGCAATTCTCCTGCCTCAGCCTCCCAAGTAGCTGGGATTAAGGCATGGGCCACCATGCCTGGCTAATTTTCATATTTTTAGTAGATACAGGGTTGAGGTTTAGCCATGTTGGCCAGACTGGTGTCAAACTCCTGAAGTCAGGTGATCCACCCGCCTTGGCCCCCCAAAGTTCTGGGATTACAGGTGTGAGCTTCTGTGCCCTGCCCTCAATGTTATACTGTTTGTAAAAATAAACAAAACCTGCTCAAATGTTGTCAAACAAAAGTTAAATAATGCCAGCTTTAAAAGACAGCTCAAGTAAATCCACATAGTTTTCTCTATTTAAAGTTAAATGTAAATAAATTTAAAATGTTAAAATATTTTCAATATATCTAAGCCCACATAAAAAGATTAGTAAAATGGTTATGTATTGTCTTATGATAAAATTTAAAGAGTAGTATGTATTTTCCCCAAACATAAAAATTTCAACTTACCACAATAGCAGACACATTCAATTTTTCTGTAGACATTCATTTATCACATTAACTTATATTGATTGACAACCGTTATATGGCATATGTCGTATCTTTTGTATTTCATTGTAATTTGTCATTAAAACTTTATTTTAACCTTTACCTCTAATTAAATATATTTAGGGCAGACTAAAATACTTGCTAATTATACTCAAATGAAAATACATTTACAAGAGGAGTGAAAAAATTAACATAAATGTGGAAAATAGCAGGGAATAAAATAAATAATAGTAGTAATAATAATAATGGACAGACTGGGCATGAAGTACAGGTGGCTCACACCTGTAATCCCAGCACCATGGGAGACCCAGGTGGGATAATCACTTGAGCCCAGGAGTTCGAGCCCAGCCTGGGCAACACAAGGAGACGTAGTCTCAACAATAAGAAAAAAAAAAAATAGCTGGGCATGAAAAAAATAGCTAGGCACATCTGTAGTTCCAGCTACTTGGAAGGCTGACATGGTAAGAGCGCTACAGCCTGGGAGGTAGAGGCTGCAGTGAGCTATGATTACGCCATTGCACTCCAACATGGGCAACAGAGCAAGACGCTGTCTCAAAACAAGATAAAAGGAAGGTTAATGATACATTTCCCAGAACATACTAATATGAGAGTGACTTTTAGAAAGAAATGTAGGTGGATAAATTAATATGTAATTAAAGTGAAAAGCAGAGATATGTAACACAAACATACTTCATAGACCTAGAATTTTGAAGAGTAACTCGTGCTGTAAAGAAGGAAGTTAAGTTTCATCCTGTGAAACCTCTTTCAATTTAACAGGCTATGACTCTCAACCTCAATTTTAGTCAATATTGGATTATATCTGTGTGAGAACCTCTTAGTAACCAGATGCCATGGGATCTAGAGAGGTGAGCTGGCACCTCCTCTAAGTGCCTGTCAGCTCCCCCTTCCTTTATCTCTTGTTGGTATGTCTCACTTCTGGGCCAACACTGAGGAAGGGATAGTGAGCATCCTGCTGCAGAGAGTATGGAAAGAGGAGAGGAAACAGGGAGGGAAGAGAAAATGAAAGAAATGAAATAGAAATACAATGTCTGGCAGCAGACATTGTGATCACCACCGTTGGACTGTATACTGGCCGGCAGTCTAGATGATGCAGAGACCTCTGGAAAGATCCAAGGACCCTCAACTTAATTTTGTTTTCTACCATTAACTAGTTTTGAAATACTCAACACTCGCAAAATGTTTTTTGTTCTATTCCATATTTCACTTTAATTTCACTCAAAGCTTCCCCGGAGCTGATCTGTCAGGCCTTTGGGAGTGTCAACCTGTATTTGCAGAGCTTGGCATTTGGCTGAAGACTCTTCTAAGGGGCTCCTGTGCAGAGTTCTTGAAGCCCCTCTTTGTACAGCTCATTTCCCTCTAGTTTCACTCATTTCACTCTGCCCCAACAAGTTCCATCAGCACCTCAGCATCCCCCAATCCTGATTTTATCTTCAGCTCAGTGAGACTGAGATCTCTGTGCTGTTGGGCTCACTTGCCTGAAATGCAACCTAGAAAGTGCCTTCAGACAGAGAGCCCAAGCAATAGTGGAGTTCATGCCAGTTTTTCCTTCCTTTGGGGATGAAAATCCTGTGCTGCCTGCCTGCTCTCCAAAATAAATACAGTTGCATCATGTATTATGTCCAGGTTTATAATTGGTTTTGGCAGAAATGCTTGTCCTGCTCCAGTTACCCCATCATGGCTGGAAGCCTCGTTTTAAATTCACATTTAAGCACTTTACATTAATACATTCCAAAAAGATTAAAAAATAGAGACCTTATTCTCTTCTTTATCTATACATGGAAAGAAAATTAGCTGCATTGTTTAATATCTTTTATTAATTACAAATAGCATAATTATCCTTCCTGAATGCCAAGGCAACGTTATAGCATTCATTTTTAAAAATGTATTTGTAATTCCATCATACAATTTATGTGACAATCATTTTTCCTATTGTAGTCAAGGGTAACATGGAATAGTAATTCAATTAGTGAAATATCCATATCTGTTTTCACTGTTTCCTTTAAAATTCTCAAGGGGCTCATTATAGAAGCATTATCTCTGTCAAGGACCTAATTACTTGTCTTTGTATTCTCAGCAATTTACCTTTCATCTTTAATCGTGGCTCCCTTGAACTTTTTCATCTGTTGTATTCACTTCAGTTTTATGTAACTCATGTTAGGTCATGCCATTCCTTTGGATTATCATTTTCAGGGTTTCCTGTGCTTTTTCTTCATTGGTCCCTTACAATTAATATTGATCACTTTTCACCTCTAGTATATTTATATCTCAAAAGTACAACTTCTTATTGAGCATCTTTTTAATTAGCTCAAGTATTTTCTTTCTGGCCTTCTTCATATTCAGGGGCATCTGGCTAAGAACCAGCTTTTTATATATTTAAAATCAATTTTACTTAGCCTAATTAATATTTTATTTTTAAATTCTTACTTCTGATTCATTTAGAGTTATAATATTTTGAGTGATCCTAGTTTTTGCTTTAGGATATAATATGTGCCTTGTTCATCTTACTCTTGGGTCTTGAAACATAAGAGTACTCAGTCTACCATCTGGCTGACTCTCCAACCCAGGAACTAAGCTTACCAAATCCCAGTATTTGGCTATAATGTTGGATGTTGACCCGATTACAACAAACATTAGGCATCAAGGCAGTTACATTCATTTTTTCAGTGATATAAAATATCAGAAGAGCTGCAACTTTTTGTCTTCACTTTAATATCACCCTTCCTTTGCTTTAGCTACTACCTTCCTCTTTTGAATTCCTCTATGTTCTTCTTTCCTTCTCCTCTCCCTACCTTCCTTCTTCCCTTCCTTCCTTCCTTCATCCTTTCCTTCCTTCCCTTTACTTTATCTAATTTAAAACTTCTAACTACTTCATAAGGAAGTGCCCCTGTTTTAAGTAATGTCGAAATTGATATATAAGTACATTGACAAAGTCATACACTGAGTAATGGAGAAAAATAAAAATCAAGCCCAATTCTCTGTGATTCCCTATTCCATGCTTTGCCACCGCTATGTATTATCAGCAAGCTAAAACTAAAATATGTAATGACTGTTTTTAAATGTAATAAAATCCATCTAGGGTAAATGATACTTTTTCATTGACTGGTAAAGCTTGTTTCTAATTTTTAAATCAGTCTGGGTTGAACAATATAATTTCAAATGTTGCAACAATACAAAAAAAACTAGGACTGTAGAAAATCTTGTTTTATAATAAAATCAATATAAAGCTGAGACACTGATTCAACTTTCCATTTTTTTCTTCATCTATCTCAACATTTGAACATTCCTTCTAGTCAAGAGCATCTATGCTGTGATCACCAGTGGTTCTTTGTAAGTCAAAGGAAACCATGTCAAATATACAGTAAAACAACAAAATTTGTTTCATCCAGCTATTCATTCATCCTTGTATCTGCCCATTCATACACTCGTTAATTTACTTAATAAATCTTGATGGAGCAACTATTTACCAAATACTTTGTTGTGCAGTAATATAACAGTGAACCTAATAAAAACATTGTCTGCCTGACCTTAATGAACTTTCAGTTTATAATATAAAACTCTACAGAAACAAAAAAAATTTATCCACTCAGAAGAGATAAGATTACATCTCAATATCATTTTATTCAGTTCCTAAATAATTAATATTTTTTCCTTAATTCCTTTTTTATACCAGAAAATCAATTATGTATTTTTTACATACATTGTAAAAAAGATATGAATTTCTGGATTTCAAACATTTTGATTAAGCAACCTAATTATGGCAGTAATTTTCATTCATCACGGTTTCTAGTAAGGATGGTGAGAATGTTTATGTTAACTGTGCACTCTTAATTTTTAAGGTTGGCCATTCTTCTGGAAATGAAGAGTATTTGTGAATATATAGGGACCCTCACCTAGCACTCTTCTCTGAGAAGCTGGGTGGTATTTAGCATAAAATAAGTGGTCTTGCATTCTCTCCAAAGGGTTTTACGCTCTTAGAAGCCCTCAGTAAGAGGTTTCAACACAAGTGTAATCAATTCCTAAGAAATTGAACGATAAAAAATGTTCCTCCAACATATTTATTATGACATTGTACTTTTATATTCTATTTGGCAACTTTATTGAAGAAAATGAATGTAATCCTTTATTGAAGATTTTAATGAATTTGAATTGGGTCACTAAAAGTTTTAAAGATAAAAAAATTTATGAAAAGTGAGACAAACAGCTTTCTACCATAAAGTAATATATTCTGGCATTTCAGAGAAGCCTGCGTGACTTTATCAGATAGAAAAAATATGATACAATATAGATGTGATATTTAAAATTACAGTGATCATGGTTGTCTAATTATATTAAGATAATGAATTTGAAAAATCAGAGACAAAGTGAAAACCTCTGTCTTTTGTAGTCCCTTTAAAGGAGAAACTTATAAAAATATTTTTATATAAAGAAAATAAAAATAAGAAAAACGAGTCCTAGGTCAGTAGTCAGTCAACTATTTCTCTAAAGAGGCCAGCCAATAGTAATCTTTTAGCTTTGGGGTGACATAGTTTCTGCTGCAGTGACTCAACTCTGCATCATAGCTACAAAGCAGCCACAGATGTGTGACACAGACATGACTCAGGTGAACAAATGAGCGTGGCTGTGCTTCCAGAAATCTTTACATACGTGAACGGGAGGCACCACATTTAGCCTCGTGGGCTATATTTGCTGACCCTTGCATTAGATGGATGTGGGCATTTTAAATATAGCCAAAATGATGAAAAAAAATTGGAAATATGCACCTACCAATGTCACAAGTAACTTCATGGATTAAAAGAAAGAAACTATATAAAAAATTAGCTTTCCCAGATGAAGTACCTAAAAAGGTGAAATATTACAATAATGTGGCAGAATTTGTTTTAATATTTCTTTAGAGTATTTTTGTTGTGTTTTGAGAAGTTTATGAACACTTTTTGCATATTATTAATGCAGCCTTTTTTATTTCATTCAACAGAATAACATCTACTCTATGACCTGTCTGTTTCTTTGGTAACAGATAAGTAATGCAATTACCATTTGATCTTATTACTCCAATAAAGTTTTAATATTAATACTGGAGAATTCCCCCCCCCCCATAGAAGGTGAGGTGATTTTTTTAAAAGTGACATTAATTTTAATAAAAAATTATTCCAAAAAGATGATAAAGGTAATTCTAATGGTCACTTTTTGGACCAGCTATGTCTCAGCACTTTTTTTTTTTTTCTGGAGACAGGCTCTTGATATGTTTCCCAGGCTGGTCTCAAACTCCTGGGCTCAAGTGGGCCTCCTGCCTCAGCTCCCGCCCCAGCCTCCTGTATCTCAGCTTCAATATACATAAATCCTCAAATAACTGTGAGCTTATTGACTCTCCTGTCAGAAAATTGAATTGCTTTTTAGATGTTGGTTTATTTCAAATATCTTTGTAGATGTAGTGGTTTCATTTCTAAAGATTAATTGAAAACTAGTCACAAGTTTGATTTGCATACTTTAATACATGTCTGCCCCTATTGATTATCTACTGCTTTGGTCAGATAAGTCATAAGTCATTTGTTTTCTATTCCCACCAACACTGTTTGACCTCAGATCTTTGTTTTATAATCTCTTTGTGTCCTATTCTCTCATATCTGCTTCTTAAATTCCTTAATCCCTCCTACAGATAATTCTTACAGAACTACATAAATGAAGCCTAAAACCTTTGCCTGCTTTACAAAGACGTCTAGTACTTATGCTGAATTTATTTCCCTGCTCTTTTAAACTGCTTCTAATGCCTTGAACACTTGAGCGTTCCCCTGGAATTTTTTTCTTCACTGTCTGACCTTTGAAACCCTATGTATCCATGTAAGTTGAGATCAAATTCCATCTTCTCCTTGTATCCCTTCTCTGATCACTGTGAAGTGTTCATATTCTGTTTATCTCTAAGAGAAGTCAAGAGTGATCCCTGCAGGCTGACATCCCAGAGAGAGAGATGGTGTTCCGCGGAGACCAAGGTTCTGTTTTACAACACTACGGTGGGGTCCCAGTCCCCGATCACCTGATTATGAAGCTAAACGTCCCCATGATCCAGAGGGTCCCTCCCTGGAGTTTAACATCTGACTCAAAGGTCCATATATGTCCCACTAAATTCTGTTTTTAAGGCTTTCAGTGGGCTGGCTGGTCATTTGCTTTTGTTTGCCCAACAACTTCATATTGCCAAATATTATAGGTTTGCAGACTCGAGATATCCAGGGTAAATTAGGAAGAGTGCATATTAATTGTGATTAAAACACAGCAGGGACTTGGGCCTGGCCCATCTCCCTTGGTGTTCTAGCATTTGGCAGTAGTCGATGAGCATTAATAATGGAAGTCCCCTGGGGATGGAGAGAAGCAGAGAAAATAAATGCTGGTAAAGAAACAGTTATATATATTTATTAAATAATTTTTCAGTTATAAAAGGTTATCTAGTGTAAGATAAATATTACTGACCATGAAATTATTGAACATATCTAAGCCAAACCTTCCTAAAAATCCCTAACATGCACACATCTCTTTGGGGAAAGGCCACCTCACTGTTCTTCACCTCCAGAGGGCCGGTGCAGTGGTTCCTTAGTTGATTTCTAGATGTGGGTTCTTTCTCTCTCTCTCCCAAGTGACGTCTTCCTGGGACATCAGTGATTCAAACTGCAAGTGTTCAGAAAATGAAGGGACACATACATCTTTACAGCAACAGCAAGCATCAGTAAGTTATAGAAAAGTCAGGGTTTTACAATCTCTGAACCTTTAATTTATTGATCCTAGATATGATTACTGCATGCTTTCCATTACCATACATATCTAGCTGGTTGTACATTTTTATATATGCAAAGTAGGCAATCCTCCAGTATTGATTCTCTATGTGATTCATCACATCTGTCTTTGACACCCCATTCATCCAGCAATAGTTTTATTAAATGGAAAATGGACAATCCTGATATGCTGATCTTACCAAAAATAGCATACTTCCTTGAACTCAGGTGGCTCTTACTGGTACTAATAAAGCTTTGAGGCCAGGACAGAGACTCTGGTCCTACTTAATACACACTGGCTACAAGACTTCAAGGACATTAATATACATAAAAGCAGGGCTTACCTGTAGTTTGCTTTATGCTTTATTTGTGGTTATCTATGACCTCTTTCTCTGGTTCTCTTCAGCCAGCCAGTTTCACCAGTGATAAGTACAAACAGATGTAGCTTACTTCTAACGTAGAAGCTCCCAGGGAGTTGAGGCCATATTTTAGTCAATTTTATGTACTTCATATAACTCAGTTGAACTAGGTGTCTTGCATCATTGATACATATTTATTACATGCATGCTGGAACACATAACATTTAAAACAAACAGATTTCTTTAAAAATATGTTTAAAGTACAAAAAAAATCCCCAATTGGAACAATTCCAATCACCGTGTCATTTGAAGTGTCCATCTCCATTCACTAGTGAACTCTAAAATGATTTCAGAGACTCTAAATAAAGACACTAAACTGCTGAAGTTTGGGATTGTGTTTTATTTGGATTAATATTATTACTGTTACTATTTTTATTAGATTACACTACCTGTAATCTAATTTACTTCTAAAATTCAAAATTATCTAGATGGAAAAAAACAGATTTTTAAAAATATTCATGAAAGAATAGGTGTCATGGTAGACAGTAAAACAATTTAACAATTAAGTGAGCTGTTAAGGAAAACATTCAGACATCTACAGTTGAAACAGTTAAAACCAGTTACAATAGATTAGACAGTGGAGAACATTTGTCTTTGTTTATAAGTCTCAGTTATTTGCCCATTCTGTCACTTTTACTCCAGAAATAGCCCTGAGAACTACCTCACAATCCATATTTATTACTGAACTCTATTTTAGGCCCTGGTCATGAAGCCATCTAGTTGGGTCTGTTGTATTAATTATCTCCCTGTCTTACCAATATTTAAGCTGTTGACAAACATTTTCACCAGGTACAGACCAATTTTGTTATTGTCTAAGGGTGTAGTTTCAAATGCCCTAGCATGGAACTCAAGGTCCACTTATGACTTCCTCCAGTCTACCTGCCCACCTGGTTCTCACACAGCTCACCCATTGCTGTTACCTGGGTTCCAGCCACAGCACTCTACTGTTTTCTGAGCACGTCTTTCATTTTTTCCCATCACAATCTCTTTGCTCATCTGTTTATTTAGCATGTATTTATTTCCATTCCCTTTGTCAAAATTCTACTCATTCTTCAAGCCTCGGGTGACATAATATCTCTTCCAAAAATCTCTCACCATATAGCTTTATTCAGAATTTACATGCATTTCCTCTGAAGTTTTATTATAATATCAGAGAAATTTTTCACATTGCAGCTACTTGTGTTTACATAACTCACTGAATTTTATTTGTTTCTGAGTAGGAAAATAATGCCTTGTAAATGTCTTAGTTCCTTTACACGTCTTAGCAAAAACACTAATAGTACCATAGAACTTAAACTGGAGTTAGAAGGATCATGTAGCCTAAATTCTTAATATGGGAAACCATGAACCAGAAACAGTATTTTTTAAAATAATTGAAATTTGAAGGTAGAACCTAGTAACTTGTCTGCCAAGACACTTCTCTAGCCAAGGTATCTTCTGATTAATATATGGCATAATAGCTTTCTGTAACAGTACTTCTCGACTGGCGTTATCCATTAGAAATTCATACATTCATGGAATTATTTTATATCTGCACAGTCCAATACAGTAGTCACTAGCCACATACAACACTTAAGTACTTGAAGTATGTCTAGTGCAACTGAGAAATTAAATTGATGATTTCCTTAATTTTAGTCAATTTAAATTTAAGTAGCCACACGTGGCTAGTGTCTACTGTATTGAACAGTGCAGTAGTCTATAAGAACATTTTCCAGAAAATTATGTTTTCTGTTGAGAAATGTAATATGCTAACACCAAAATTTTTGTGGCCAAGAATAAAAAAATACTGTTATATTTCTCTTTTGATTTTAAAGGGAATTTTTCATAGTGCAGAAATAGATAACGTCCCTTATTCAATGGAATACTACTATTGAACTATTTTGCCTGGGAAAGGACAAATGGTAGCTCATAAAAACTGAATTGCAAGAAAAGAATTTGCAGTTGTGAAAGATGACGTGCACCAGATAAATAGGATGACTGTATTCAATCTATTGCAATTAGGAGATCATTCATTAATCAGGAATATTTTCAAGAAAGGAAGGGAGCCTGGAGTTTGATAGAGTCAGATAGACAAGAGAGTCATGAGAAAGGATGGAGATGTGTCTTTTTGGGGTTTTGGTTCTTTTTTTTACTTTTTGAGACGGAGTCTCACTCTGTCACCCAGGCTGGAGTGCAATGGCGCGATCTCGGCTCACTGCGACCTCCGCCTCCCGGGTTCAAGTGATTCTCCTGCCTCAGCCTCTGGAGTAGCTGGGATTACAGGCGCCCACCACCACGCCTGGCTAATTTTTGTGTTTTCAGTAGAGACAGGGTTTCACCATGTTGGTCAGGCTGGTCGTCTCAAACTCCTGACCTCAGGTGATCCACCCGCCTCGGCCTCCCAAAGTGCTAGGATTACGGGCGTGAGCCACCGTGCCCAGCCAGAGATGCGTCTTATCTCAGTAGCCTAGGAAGGGTAATGGTGGGAATATGCAAGACCAGGGTGGTCCCTTGACTAGCCATTTCTTGGAACACAAAAGTTAGGAGAATTTTGCAACCATCCCTTCTTTCCAGGGAGATAGAATATATTTAAATGTACACATGCAACATTTCAAGAAGAATTTAAATTTCACAAATGTTATCTGTTTACATAATCCTTACTCCTGCCCAAAGGTCTGTGGAGTCAAGAGTAAAAACTTATGCTCCTATGGTTTCCTCCCAGAATTTTTTTTAACTGTTTGTCTTGAAGAAATGGAGTCTTATATTTATGTTATATTTATATTTAAATAAACTATCTGGTATTTAGAATCAAATTCTAACATATATTAGACAAGGAGTAAGTGATTTGATATATTTTGTCTCATTTTGTTCTACCAATATTTGCCATTTTACAAACAAGAAAACTAAGGCTCATATAGTTTAAGTGATAGGCTCTATTTAGATTTGGACCGTCTACTTCCATATGCATAGTTAGGAATTAGTCATGTCAACCTTATGCCATCGAAATGTCAGCTAGTATCACCTCAGCCCTGTGACTATAGATATTAATTGACTTGAACTTTGGTATTGGTGAATAATTGAAAGTCTACCCTGAAATTTCTGCAAATTCCAATGCACTCATTATTGGTGGTCATCTCAAATTTTGAACTCTTGCTTCAGATAAATTAATTCTGCTCATGGAACATTTTACTATACACTGTATTTATATAATATATCTGTTCTAAAACACAGCAAACTATATTTGAAGAACTATATTTGAAGAGTGGGCCCTTTCCTTGAAATACATGAGTGCAGTGATGCAAACTCACATACTTTCCTATGTGAGTACAGTCAGGTCTGTAGATGACTGATATTTCTCCATTTACTCACTGGAATTTATTTCTATTTTCTATTTCTATTTGACAGATTTTTATTTATATTGTATTTTATTGATAAATTGTTCATTAATTGTGGTTCTGAGTATATCTGAAATATATCTCTATCTCTTCTAGCTTGTACACTTTTTAAAGTGGGAGGGAAGTCAATATGCATATTATTTTCATATATGGGCAGGCAATTAATTGTTGGATTGTAACTATATTGATGTGGATGAAATGAAAACACATACTTATTAAGAAATTATAAAATTTTATAACAAAGGAAAACAAGACATCACAAAAGTCTTATTGTTGACTTTCCTATGTAGGATTTTTTTTTTCTTTCCAATTACTAGCTTTTTTTGGTTTAATGGGCTCTCAAATAGGCCTCACTGGCTCTCTCGCTTCCTGGGTGATTAGTGGCAAATGCTCAGCTAGCACAAAGCACTGCAAAACATTTTCTATTCAGGTCAGGCACAGAATTTGTCATTTTTATTTTCAGTGTGTGCAAAATGATTGTTTACATTGACTCTTTTACAATATCAAGGAATTTTATTTATCATTCTATTGTTGAAGGAAAGTATTGGTATTTCAAAATAAAAAGCAAAATGTCAATAAGATAATTTTTTCTTTTTCTTAATAATGTCTTAGCCATATATACACATTTCTAATCATAATTTGCAAAACATTTCCAAAAACATTTGATTAGAATTAGTTCAGTACACATTATATCTAACTTTAATAAAAATGAGGGGCCAATATTTTAAACATTGATATTCTTAATATTTCCCTAATCATAATGTCTTAAAGATTTTTCTTTAATCATTTACCATAGTGTTTAGAATGAAGGAGTAACTTTATTAAAAGTGTATTCAAATCAAAACTTGCCTACACTATCTTTTAAAGGGAGTTCAGCCAAAATTGTATCAATTTTAATAATGTTGGTCAAGTTCCTTTACCTTTCTGGCCTCATCTTCTTCATGTAAATGACTTAATGGCACCAAAGCCCCAAGACTGTAGTTAGGATGAATGAATGAATAGTGGAAATCATTTAAAATGGTACCCAGTTTCTAGTAAGTTCTTAAAAACATTAAGATGATTATCCAGTTAAACTAGATTCTTTTATAGAAGATGCAATAAATCTTATAAATGGTATAACATTTGCCAATATTTTTACAAGTAGTAAATAAAACTTCAAAACTAGAACCTAGCTCTCCTCTGAATAATTACAATACATTATAAAATCAAGGCATGTATACTGAAAACAAAAGGTAGGGAGCAGCAAGGCTTCCTGTGAATGGGATCAGGGAACGCTTCATGGAAGTAGTTGCTTGGAACATAGAAGGGCATTCCGGGCAGATGTAAACGTGCTGGGAGGCAGGGATGCAGGCCCTCCCCCACATTTACACAGCCCTGAATAAGAGTACAATCAGAGGCACTTGTACTGTAGACCAAAGTATTTGAAGCCTATAATGAACAGTTAAATGAAATATTTTGTTTGTTTGTTTTCTTACTTAACAGTACATGTTTCTATAATAACCTGCAGGATCAGGATAAGGTTCAGAATTCTTAGTCTCCTCGGAGTTCACGCACAACATGGCAGTAGAGGAGGAAGATCCAGGTTTCTTGATCTGTTCCCTGTCCCCCTTAATCCTAACAGCTTCAGAGCAGCCTCTGTCCAAGCTCTGTCCTCCTGCTCCCCAAACAGATGCCCTGTGGCCATTTCTCAGGCCTAGGAGTAAGCACATCAGCAATCTGTCCTCATAAGGAAGGACTCCCAAGAGAGGCTCCAGCAGATGTTAGATGCTTCCTGAGGCGTGCTGAGGGGATTATAGTTTGTGAGCAAATGTGTGGTAGGCCCTGGGTGGCCAGATTCTGAAGGCCTTGTACATTCCTTGCACCACTGTGAGGGGCAGAGCTGGAGGAAGGACAGAACAAGAGCCCAAAGTAGGTTGGGATCCCTGTCCCTTAATCTAAAGTGGGCATGGAATCATGTGGCATTTCTGAGATCTAAAAGTTATTCTAAAGCAATATGAAAAAGTCTTTGGCGGAGGCTGAGTCTGGAGGCAGAAATACCAAGAAGCTATTGCAATGGGCAGATTTATGAAAATGACAGTGAAGACAGAGAGGAAGGTGCAGATGGATTCCAGAGACACTTAGGTTGTATGGTCAATAGAACTCAAGGGCCAACTAAATTCCAGGGAAAGTGGAAGAACTTGGAAACCAGAATGAATGTGAATTCATTGTAGGGAGGCGGGTAAGTGGAAATTTAACTTTATTCTAGTGTTCTCTGCCGCACTATGCTGCCTTTAAGGTGGAAAGGCAGTCTGTATTCGAAGTCCAGAAGTATTGTTAAAATTTTACCACTTGAATTTGATCTAGTAAAATAAAGTTAATTGCTATAGTTATGCTTTTCAAGCATTATTTGCTTGAGAAATGCATTGTTTGTAGACATGTTTATTTAGGTTTGGAGTTATGCATACCCAAAAGACACAAACACATATAATTCATTTTGATGTAGGTAGTTTTACATCACCTCAAAACATAAGCAGATGTGTTCTTTCAAAATGCTATTAATTATGTTACCAGGTGAAATCCTTCTCATTTTACCTAGTTCACTGAGTCTGTTGAACATTTTCCTGAACCCATCTTGACCCTTTAAGTGTAGATGAAATTCTTTCAAGTTGTAATACATCCGGTCTAATCAGGACTCTGAAATAAAAATGAATCGTCTTTAAACCAAGGCTATGATGATGATAGCTACTGGCTTGGAAAGAATTCTTTAATTATTTATGTAAATTTAATTATACCAGTTTAAGTAAAGGCTTGCCATAAACATTAGTCAAAAAAAGATAATTACTTGAATGGCATTAACTCTAATAAAGCAAAATAAACAGACTATACTAATTAGGAACTAAAATGCATATGCTGTGAACCTAATATGAAATTTTCAGTTATGAAATTGCATTGTGTAACTTGATAAAGGAGAGTTGTTTATTGCTGCTCTCATTAAAATAAACCCTCCTTATAGCACTTAGAATGTTGGACTCCTACAGATAACATTATAATGAGGGGATGATGCATTTTGATTGAGTCAACACAAGGGAGAAATTTAATTTAATTAAACTGGTCTTCATTAAAGTATTACATTGAAGTGAAGTAATTATATGGCACATACAGTATGGAAGAAATCCTGCTGTTTAAAAGGGAGGACACTCACAATCGACCGGCCTTGATTTTATTATAGAGCCCCTCTCTCAGTAATTAACCTTGAATTTGAATGTAATGATACAGCAGAGTAATATTCTTTCATGCTCTGGTTTTTAAAATAAACAACATCTTTTATATATATATATTTATATATATATTTATATATATTTATATATATATTTATATATATATTTATATATATATTTATATATATATATTTATATATATATTTATATATATATTTATATATATTTATATATATATTTATATATATATTTATATATATTTATATATATATTTATATATATTTATATATATATTTATATATATTTATATATATATTTATATATATTTATATATATTTATATATATATTTATATATATTTATATATATTTATATATATTTATATATATTTATATATATATTTATATATATTTGTATATATTTATATATATTTATATATATATTTATATATATTTGTATATATTTATATATATATTTGTATATATTTATATATATATTTGTATATATTTATATATTTTTATATTTATATATATTTATATATTTATATACTTTTATATATTTATATATTTATATATATATTTATATACTTATATATATTTATATATTTATATATATATTTATATATTTGTATATATTTATATATATTTATATATTTATATATTTATACATATTTATATATATTTATATATATATTTATATATATTTATATATTTATATATTTATATATATATTTATATATTTATATATATTTATATATATATTTATATATTTATATATATTTATATATATTTATATATATATTTATATATTTATATATATTTATATATATGTTTATATATGTTTATATATATTTATATATATTTATATATATATTTTTATATATTATATATTTATATATATATTTATATATATATTTATATATGTATATATATTTATATATATTTATATATGTATATATATTATATTTATAAATATATATAATATATCCATGTAGCTTTTGTACATGTAAATATCTATGTAGACACATATTTGCATATTTGTGTATATATGCACACATATACATATTTGTGTGTATATATGTATGCAAATGTATATATAAAACTGATAAATATAAGCATATTAATACTAATCCCTAAATAAATATTAAGCAAACATTAAGCAAAATAATATATGTTTCTTAGAGCTGTATTCTCTATATATCCAACATAATTATTGAATATAACTACCTTTTTGGAATAAACAGTTTATGAACTTAATGTTGTTAAAAGATTCAAAAAAGTGTAGGCGGTAGATGAATGAGTAGAAGTAGGGTTAAAATTTTAAATTGTGGGAAACAACCTGTGATCATTACAGTAGCCTCTTGATATCTCCACCAAGTTGATGACATTTTATTTGTAGTGTAGAAAACATGCCTTTGGATGTGAAAGAGTATGGAGAAAATGATTACTTCAATTACTATTAAAAGATCTAAGGATAAACTACTTTTTCTTTCAGATAATCAAAATTAATTTTTAAAAACCTGTGGAAATTATCATACTTCTAAATGAATCAATCAGTTAACTGGTTACTTATCTGGATTTATATGTCAAAATCAGCAAATAGAAAATTTTAACATCTTCGATCTCTTGGCTTCTGTCTTGGTTCAGTCTGCTCTAACAAAGTACAATACTGGGTGGCTTATCAACTACTGAAATGTACTTCTCACAGCTCTGGAGACTGCAAATCTGAGATCAGGGTGCCCACATAGTTGGGTTCTAGTGAGGGTCCTCTTGCAGGTTGCAGACTGCAGACTCCTTGTATCCTCACATGGCAGAAACAGGGCTAGAATGTCCTGGAGGAATCTCTTTTCTAGGGCACTAATCCCATTAATGAGAGCTTCATCCTCACGATCTAAATTATCTCCCAAATGGTCCACCTCCTACTACCACCACATTGGGGACTGTGGTTTCAACATAGGAATGTGAGGAGACACAAACTGTCTAGTGCACCTTACTTATCTGTAAACGTTTCCTTGTTTCTTCAGCTACCCTCTTGACCACTTCTTTGAATCTTTCTCCACTGTTAAAAAAGGCTCTGTATTGGGTCTTTGCCTGATATGTCTGTATTCATTCATTAATAGTTGGAGAAATTTAAGGGCTGAGTTAAGCCTAAGTGAGTGATAGTGCACCACTTGTGAAGTTTTGCTGAGTGACAGTTTTATTCTTCAAAACCGAGACAATTATATTGACCTATCCTGGGCCAGGCACACATTTCTGGAACAGAATATTATACTTGTCTATTTTTTTTTTTTTTGAGATGGATTCTTGCTCTGTTGCCCAGGCTGGAGTGCAGTGGCACGATCTCGACTCACTGGAAGCTCTGCCTCCTGTGTTCACGCCATTCTCCTGCCTCAGCCTCCCGAGTAGCTGGGACTACAGGCGCCCGCCACCACGCCCAGCTAATTATTATTATTATTATTATTTTGTATTTTTAGTAGAGACAGGGTTTCACCGTGTTAGCCAGGGTGTTCTTGATCTCCTGACCTTGTGTTCTGCCCACCTGGGCCTCACAAAGTGCTGGGATTACAGGCGTGAGCCACCACACCAGGCCTACTTATCTATTTCTACTCACTACTGCTTCCACTGTAAAGTCTGTGTGAATTATTTTCAAATCTGTTCTCCTCTAACTAGGATCCAGATCATACTTCTACCAGCTTTGGTAGAAGCTACCCATTTCCAACTATTGAAAGCCTCTTTGATTAGCAGCTCCTTAGGAAAATGCCACCGTTTCTGTAAATAATTTTCCTGCCTTCCCCACTCATATTCTCATGTCTCTCAAAACATTATTTTTTCTCTTCCTTCTCTTATATTTCCTACCGTCTATGATGTCAGTTTAAATATCTGGATGAAGCTGGAAACCATCATTCTGAGCAAACTTATCGCAAGGACAGAAAACCAAACACCACATGTTCTCACCCATAGGTGGGAATTGAACAATGAGAACACTTGGACACAGGATGGGGAACATCATACACCGGGACCTGTCGTGGGATGGGGAGGAGGGAGGGATAGCATTAGGAGATGTACCTAATGTAAATGATGAGTTAATGGGTGCAGCAAACCAACATGGCACATGTATACATGTGTAACAAACCTGCATGTTGTGCACATGTACCCTAGAACTTAAAGTATAATAAAAAATAAGTAAATATCTGTCTTCCTTGTATATATACTTTTCAGTCCTCAAGTGCAGAATCCATATTAGAATGATTTGTACATGTCCAGTCCTAGAATCATGCTTAAATGTAGTGAGAGTTCAGGGTAGGATCTTGGCTCTCAATTAATTGATCGTTCATTACAGTAAACGCCATTTCATTGCCAAACAAATGAAGTCCAAATTTCTATATGGGTCTGGAATTGCATATAATTGTTAAAATACTGAAAGGACATGGAAATAATTGATTACATAATCTATAAAACCCTACTTCTATTTGACTAACCACAATGAAAATGGCTTTTTTGATTATACTATTAAATTAGATTTTATTTCATGATACAATCTAATCAACCTCTTTTACATACATATTTGTTTTCAAGGTGACACGTTTAATGATTTATTATATTTGGGGCAGAAAATATGTTTTTGTGTAACAATTTCAACCTATTTTATATAAGAGATTTGATTTTTAACATATTTATCAATATTATATTTCAAAATAAAATTCAGTAAGAATTTCTGACTAAGTCAGCTGGGTGTGGTGGCTCGTGCCTGTAATCCTAGCACTTTGGGAGGCCAAGGCGGGCAGAACATGAGGTCAGGAGTTCACGACCAGTCTAGCCAACATGATGAAGACCCGTCTCGACTAAAGATACAAAAAATTAGCCAGGCGTGGTGGCATGCACCTCTAATCCCAGCTACTGGGGAGGCTGAGGCAGGAGAATCACTTGAACCTGGGAGGTGAAGGTTGCAGTGAGCCAAGATCGCGCCATTGTACTCCACCCTGGGAGACAGGGTTAGACTCTGTCTCAAATAAATAAATAAATAAATAAATAAAAGAAAAAGAATTTCTGAATAAGTTGATTCAGATTAATTAATATTTTTTAGGATTAGAGAGATATTTGCCAAGATTTATTGCTAAGTCAACTACTTTCACAGCTATTTAGAAAATGTCTTTAATCCATAGGTGTTTGTAACATTTCCTAAGAAACGTGATATATTTGAATTTTAAAAGATGCTTATATATGTTTCCACCAAGACTGGCTAGAAATGTCTATTTTATCACTTTCATTCTACACCCATTTATTTTGACTTTCCATTCATTGCATACGTGTATACTAGGGGAATTATGAAAATATATATTCTAAATTTTTCTGTTGCTTATCTGTCTGTGGCCACTAGACACTGTAAGGAGATCATACCACAGGGAGCCTCATGTTCTCTTCCTTTGTACGTATTCAAAGCCCACTTCCTTCCTGTAGCATTCATTCCACAGGAGGCCTTAAAACTTATATTTTCTAAAATGTTGTTCACTGTTCAAGTTCTCAAAAGTTTGAAATATAAACCAAAATAAGAGCTATTTTTATTCACCACACAATGCTTTCATTTTCTTCTAGTTTCCTTGGCACACGGTAAAATAAATGTTTTATAATATAGTGCTAAATATTTTGATAAAAACAAAAGAACAAGTTGAGTGTGCAAAGATGTATATAGGAAAATAAAGACATTGTTAACAATCAAATTTTAAGCTTAAGAGAGGATAGCAACTTAGTTTCGCAAATCGCTTTAGCGAGCAGAATCTCCTTTGAGCCTCATGAAACCTCTCTGGAGACAGTTCAGTGTTGTTATCCTGTTTTGCACAGGAGGAGATTGAGGTTTAAGGAGGATATTTGGTTTGTTCAAACTTAATAGTGTAAGGGCTAGGTTTCCAACTCTGGTCTTTTGACACAAGGTCTGTTCCTCTCCCACTATTTCATATGGCTAACAATTATCACAGACATTTTTCTCTCTTTACCTCTTTTCTAATTTATCAGGCTAATTTATCAATGCTTCAATGAATTAAAAAAATTTAGAAGAAAATCTGAGGACATAACATAAAACTTTCCACAAGTATCACACCCCTTGCATATAATGAATGCAGGAGATTTCTTTTCTAGGAGTTTTCCAGAGCTATATTTAAAAATATGATTTAATTTTAGTTCATTCTGAAAATCGCTGCTTATAAAATACTATCACATTCATGGTTCCTTGCATAGTTTCTTGTACTTTATCAATGAACATGGATAAAGTGCCTAATTGTGTTGATCTTGCCCATATGAATTTCTGGCACATTCATATATCAGTTCTCTAATTCTCAACTTCTTCCTCATTTATAAAATGGAGATAAAAACACCTCCACTAAGGAATAAATGGAATTACATACATATCACATATATAATACATAATTAATCAAATATATCATTATGTATTGTAGGCATATATGTGTATACGTATATAATATGTATTACATATCATATATGTCTATATAATACATATAGACATATATTACACATGTGATATAACTCATATATGAATATATAATATATAATTATTATATGGAATTGTATATGTATATAATTACCTATAATTATATACATGCATAATTACATCTAATATTGTAATTATATATAATTATAGATATATCACATGTATGATTATATACATGTATATGTAATCACAATTCACAAAAAATCAATATTCAATAAATGATAGTTTAAGAAAGCATGATTATAGCAGAAAGTGATGTTGTCTAGCACCAGAGTCAAGTTCTACTGAACACATCAAATAAACAAATGATTTAAAGTTGATTTTTTCAATCTTTAATGCACATTATTTTGTTTTTGAACTTGTGTTTTTAAATTTTTTATTCAAATCAGCTTAACATAAATGTAAATTAAAACCATATTCCATGTAAATTTCACAAAAATTCATTTATGCTTATATGAGCCAAACTATCCAAAAGCTTATACCCTGGAGATTTAGTTTATTCTACAGAACAGGCTGTCCTTTTTTTTTTTTTTTTTTTTTTTTTTTTTTTTTTTGAGACGGAGTCTCGCTCTGTCGCCCAGGCTGGAGTGCAGTGGCGCGATCTCGGCTCACTGCAAGCTCCGCCTCCCGGGTTCACGCCATTCTCCTGCCTCAGCCTCCCGAGTAGCTGGGACTACAGGTGCCCGCTACCACAGGCTGTCCTTTTTTTACAATGTTCATCTTTTATCAAATTATTTTCATAGGTCTTACATTCTAAAATGATATTAGTTAACAGTTGTAATGTTAGTTGTGATATTCAAAAAAAGTCAGTAAAATCAAGAACTTTGTATTATGCCAGAAATTTAGAATCTTCTCATAGAATTGATATAGTCTCTTACTCATTCTAAATAATTCATATTAATGAATATTATTTTAAGAATGCGATATTTCCACATCTAATTGCTGATTCTACAACGTTCTTCTTGACAATATTTAATTCTTGGGCCGGGCGCAGTGGCTCACACCTGTAATCCTAGCACTTTGGGAGGCTGAGGCTGGTGGATCACCTGAGGTCAAGAGTTCGAGACCAGCCTGAACAACATGGTGAAACCCCTGCCTGTGCAAAAATACAAAACTTAGGCCGAGCGTGATGGCTCATGCCTGTAATCCCAGCACTTTGGGAGGCCGAGACCGGCAGATCACGAAGTCAGGAGATCGAGACCATCCTGGCCAACATGGTGAAACCCAGTCTCTACTAAAATACAAAAAATTAGCCAGGAGTGGTGGCAGTCGCCTGTAATCCCAGCTACTCAGGAGGCTGAGGCAGGAGAATCACTTGAACCCAGGGAGGCGAAGGTTGCAGTGAGTCGAGATCGTACCATTGCACTCCAGCCTGGGTGAAAGAGCAAAACTCTGTTTCAAAAAAGAAAGAAAGAAAATATTTAACTCTCTTCTCTAGCTTAAAATGCCATTCATTTCAGTCTAATTAACTAACTTTGTTGTTTCATTAATTCTTTTATCATTATGTATATATACTGTCTTGAGAGAACTTGTTTAATTTTGGATAAATAAGTTAAATAATGCAAAGGTGGAGACTTTTTTGTAATGAATGACGAAAATACACGTTTTTGGGTTTTTTTTTTTCTTTTTTCTTTTTAGACAGAGTCTCGCTCCTGTCACCCAGGCTGGAGTGCAGTGGCATGATCTCAGCTCACTGCAACCTCTGCTTTCCTGGGCTCAAGGGAATCTCCTGCCTCAGCCTCTTGAGTAGCTGGGATTACGGGTGCCCATCACCACATCTGGCTAATTTTGTATTTTTAGTAGAGATGGGGTTTGGCTAATTTTTGTATTTTAGTAGAGACAGGGTTTTGCCATGTTGGCCAGGCTGGTCTCATACTCCTGACTGGTGATCTGCCGCTTCAGCCTCCCAAAGTGCTGGGATTACAGCCACAGTGCCCGGCCAATACTCTTATTTTTTATTTTATCAAAAAGAGAAATTATGCATAGCTCTCTAATGACACTTATTTTATAGTAGTGATGACAGTAGTACCAGTTTCCTGTTTGCTAGTCAGAAACACACACTTAAAAACTCTAAAAAATAAATTAGTTCTACAAATTCAACACATGTGGTCTGTATTCTTCAAGATATTTTATAATGGTTTCTCTTTCAAATGCGATTATTCAGAAGTGGAAGTTATCTCTTTTCAGCTGAGCTTGCTCGAATACTCCGTTCTGCACATCTCTCCTTGTAATGTGAGTATTTTCTACAGTGAGAACCAAAAAAGAAATGCTTCTTAAAGGATCTTTTTCGTGGAGTCTGATCTGACATGCCCTTTTAATGTTCCCTGTGCCTTTTCACATACAGCATCCACAAACAAACTCTCCTATGTGTTGACTCATACTCCCAGCAAGTATGTTTCATAAAAACATGTAGAGCAAGAGAAACCCCTGTGTAAATCTAGCATCTTCCAAGAACGTGTAGGCAGAAAAATTCATCTTTCCATTGTTGTTGTTTATTTTATTATTATTTTTTATACGGGATCTTGCTTTGTTGCCCAAGCTGGAGTGCAGTGGTGGATCATAGCTCACTGCAGCCTTGAACTCCTGGGCTCAAGCTATCCTCTCACCTCAGCCCCTGAGTAGCTGGGACTACAGGCACGCACAACCACACCTGGCTAATTTTTAGTTTTTTGCAGAGAGCAGGTTTCACTATGTTGCCTAAGCTAGTCTTAAACTCCTGCCTTCAAGCGATCTTCCCGCCACTGTCTCTCAACGTGGTGGGATTAGGGGTGTGAGCCACCGTGCCTGGCCTCAACTTCCTTTTATTCTCCAACATTATCATGTCTCAAAAACCCAAAGACTGAAACTTCAGTGTCCATAATTTATTATTAAATGCATGGCCACCACATCATCATCAATTATTTTTCTGAATTGTACTAGCACAAAGTAATTTCTTGGAGTTTTGGTTTGTGTTTTGGCTTTTAGTGAGGAATTGGATTTAAGTTGATTAAAATGAGTGTGTAACAGAAAAGACTACAAATGTTTTTCCACATCATTCAAACGCACATTCTACGCTCCATCTGACATGGGGCTGCCTGTTTTTTCTGATTGTTTGCTAGTGGTTAGAGTTACATCTGTAGCCCTCATCGATGGCCAAGTATTACCCAAGACTTGGCTGAGGTTGCTACTTCTTCATTCATTCTGTTGTCTGCTCTCTTCGTTCTTGGTACATCAGTCTCCTCTTGCCACTGTTCTCCATCTGTCTCCAGGAGCCTGCTCTCTGACTTCCAGAGCTCTCAGCTTGTTGCTTCAATTAACTTTTCAGTGGACCCCTTGGCAGCTTCCATAGTTTCCTGCTGGTGCTTCCCATTTTCCTACTGCTTTTTTATCACCGTGCTTGGCTTCCCAGCACCCCCACCCCCATTTATCAGTCCTCAGCTGGTTGAACTATTGTTTGAAGCACTCTGGATTTCCTGCTGATTTTATCACTAATTCTTCACTGATCTTTTGTTACACTTTTATTTCATTTTCTTCCCAATTTTGTCTTCAGGACGCTGGCATTATCTTGCAAGACCCAGTGCTAGGAGAGCAACTCTTCCAAGAATTCTTCATCTAGCAGCTATTTAGTTATTTTTTCAATTAGAATTGACCAAGAGTGAAGTATATTTTTCACTGTGTCTACTGGGAAAAATACTACTTACATTTGACAAGGTGTTTATATACATATACACTATCTGGTTGCTGTGATGTTAGTGCTTCAATTCCAAAATATTCCCCTGGTGACTTGTTAAACAACCGTGTCTTTCGCAGACTTACTCTGATAAGGTGGTTGCCTTGAAGAAAATTGGTATTACTTACTATTTACATTTTAAGAAGAATGATCCTGGTGTTTCTTTGTCTGGTCTAGCAATCTTCGGCAGGGTTATGTCTTGATTACTACAAGGTCCTATTCTCAAGAGTGGTGTTCACAGTCTAGATCTAAGGTAAAGTCTTCTCATTATTGATTTTTGTATTTTTCATGCCTAGTGTCACATAAGAATTGCAAGAGACTCCTCCAGGACTTATGACTCCCTAGAGGCCAATATTAAGTATCATATCAACTCTTGGTGTTGACTTTTTCGTATTCACACAAAACTTCCAAAGCCTAAAAATTTCTAAGGATAAATAAAAAAGACTTGTTTCAGTCTCCTGAGAAAATAATTTGTTTAAAAAGTTAACTTAAAAAATAGCTTACCTTAAACTTAGAAATTGCAAATGTATTCATTACAGACTACTTTTGGCCAGATGCACTCATATACGTAAAGTAAAAGAAATGTAACAAGTGCAAAATAGTGGAATAACTATAGCAGTTAAGCCTGTATAGAGTTTAAGTATAATGAAAGTGACATGAGCTTTAGAAATAGACATTTTTCTGTTTAAATCTTGGCTCCCTCGCTTTCTAGCAAAGTAATCTTAAGCAAGGTTATAATAATAACCTGTAGTTTGGAGAAGATCGATGATTTTTAAAATTTTTTTGGTCTGTTTATTTTTAATAGTAAAACTTTTTAAAAATCATGATTAATCTCAGCATATTTATTTTACAACAAGGTTAGTCCTAACTTCTCTGGTTGGAGCCAAGCATTTGGAATGGTTTTTCTTCAACTTCTACAGGGTGGCTCGGAGAAACTTTTATATGTCTCCAAGATTCTGTGGAACAGTTTGAAAGTTCCCAGACTAGATAAAAAACTCATTGTATGAAAGACTAAATGCAGCAAATGATGCTATTGTCCACACACTTTATCACTGTGTTTCAGGTGTGATTTCTTCCCTAAGACTAAGGACCCATCATTTTAGTGCAACCTTCTTCATTTAAATGGAGAGTTGTAATTGCCAATGCTCACAGCTACTCCTGCTCTGGTGAGTTCCCCATACCTTGCTCCCAACTACTCTGTCTCTCTACCACAAGGAGGCTTGGTTATTCCAGTACCAATCCTGTCATGTGCATTAGTGCTGCCTAAAGCATTCGCCGAAAAAGCTCTTCACTCACCCTTGCCATTCCCTCATCATCCTCACACTCATAGTCACAGGCTCTCTGCCTCTTCGCTAATCTGATCTTTCCTTCCTCTTCTGCCAGAATATCCAAACACCTTAACTATGCCCTCTGGAATTCCCTTATTTATACCAGCTCCCTTGCCCTTCTCTTCCTTCTTTAAATTAACCTTATAAAATCCTAAACCAATATTAGAATTCTTCTAATTCTTCTGCGCCTAAGATAAATTTTTTTCTTGCTTAAAATTTATGACCTCTGGGCTCAAATGACTCTTAATCGCTCTTTTTTTTGTTTGTTTGTTTTGTTTTTTTGACGGAGTCTCGCTCTGTCGCCCAGGCTGGAGTGCAGCGGTGCGATCTCGGCTCACTGCAAGCTCCGCCTCCCGGGTTCACGCCATTCTCCTGCCTCAGCCTCCCGAGTAGCTGGGACTACAGGCGCCCGCCACCATGCCTGGTGAAGTTTTTGTATTTTTCACAGAAACGGGGTTTCACCGTGTTAGCCAGGATGGTCTCGATCTCCTGACCTCGTGATCCGCCCACCTCGGCCTCCCAAAGTGCTGGGATTAAAGGCGTGAGTCACCGCGCCCGGCCTCTTAATCGCTCTTTAGTAGCCCTCTTATGCTTTCTTGTTTTTTTTCCCCTCATGCTTCATCTCCCTAAGTAATTATTTCATGCCTTTTTCTGTCAACGTATCTAATGCCCCCTTCCCCATCATCACTGTCAGCTGGTGACCGTAGTTCCCACGCAGCTGGTGACCTTAGTGCCCACGCAGCTGGTGACCTTAGTTCCCATGCAGCTGGTGACCTTAGTTCCCATGCAGCTGGTGACTTTAGTCGTCATGCAGCTGGTGAGCTTAGTCCCTATGCAGCTGGTGATCTTAGTTCCCATGCAGCTGGTGACCTTAGTTCCTATGCAGCTGGTGAGCTTAGTCCCCATGCAGCTGGTGACCTTAGTGCCCATGCAAGGGAAAGAAGGAAAAAGTAGGGAAGAACCTCCCTGTGTTCCCATCAGCACTCTACCCTCTTATCTTCACTAGATCTCATCGTTCTCTTCTACCCAATTATTTTACTCTAGCAATTATCTCCCTCCTATCTCATACATCAATTATTCTCCCTCTTCGGGGTCATTCTCACCAGCTTTCAAACTGTGATAAAATTTTCTGCCTTAAAGGAAAAGCCCTCCCTTCATCCAGATGTTGCTTCATTTCTCTACGGCCAAATTATATCAGAACTCCTTTAAAATGTCACCTATATCCACCATGTGCTATTCCTTTGAAATAGCTCTTGAAACAACTCTGCCAAAATTTCTACTAATCAGAATGTTTAAATTCAGAGGTTAATTTTCCTTCCTAGTCTCATTTGACACTGTTGCTCACCCTTTCCTGAAACAGTGTATTTGGTTCCTGGAGCACCATTGCTCTCATTTTTCTCGCTTCCTCACTGGCCATTTATTCTGTTTCCCTTGCTGGTTTCTTCTCATCTTCGTAACTTTTTTTTTTTTTTTTTTGAGATGGAGTCTGGCTCTGTCACCCAGGCTGGAGTGCAGTGGCACGATCTTGGCTCACTGCAACCTCTGCCTCCCAGGTTCAAGCGATTCTCCTGCCTCAGCCTCCCAAGAAGCTGGGACTACACGTGCATGCCACCACACCCGGCTAATTTTTTGTATTTTTCGTAGAGATGGGGTTTTACCGCATTAGCCAGGATGGTCTCAATCTCCTGACCACGTGATCCGCCCTCCTCGGCCTCCTAAAGTGCTGGGATTACAGGCGTGAGCCACCGTGCCCGGCCTCATCTTCCTGACTTCTTAACATTGATGTGCCATCCTTGAAACTTCTGTCCATTTCACCTAAGTAACCCCTATGTGATCTCATCTAGACTTATGCCTTTCTATACTATCTTACAGATTTAAGCTCCCAACCTACACCTCCCCCCAAACACTAGAGTCATACCCTCATACTTTCAGTTACACTTGGATGTCTAGTAGACATCTCAAATGTAGCACACCTAAACCAAACTCCTGACTTCCCCATCCAAAACCCCTGATCCACCCCAACCCTTCTTTATCTTGGTAAATGGCAACTTCATCCAATTAGATCCTGAGGGCGAAACCTTTAGAATCACCCTTGACTCTTCATTCTCTACTATCCCACAGCCAGTCTATCAGCAAATAAGAACTGTCCTGCTACTTCTCCCCACATCCAACAGAAATTCCCTTGCCCAGCCCACAGCAAAAATTTTACTTGGATTCTTTTAGAGTTCTTCTTGAACTATTTTCTCGTTTTCCCCTTTTGCTACTACAGTGTCTGTTTAGTCCACCAGCCAAAGTGTCACTTAAAATTTGAATTAAGATTTGTCCTATGTTTGATAAAAATCTTTCAATAACTTCCCACTTCGCTAAGTGCAAAAGCTAAAATCATTTTAATGAGCTATTATTAGGGTATCCATATAACTTCCCATGCAAACCTAGGTGTTCTTTCTCCTGGAAAAAAGCTTAATGGTAATCACTTCCAGACAACATGTGTCAACAGGCACATTCCCAGACAAACTGGATGTGCTCTGCTCCTGCCTATACGTCCCTACGCAATCTACCCTGGTGTCTGCAACATACTTGACCTCCTCCTCTCCTTCCTTCCTCCGTCCTGCACACACCTCTCTTATAAACCGCACTTCTTGCATGTCACAGAAGCTGCCAAGGATGCTCTTGCATCAGGGTTATTTGCTTCTGCAGATCTTTTCGCTCGAAATACCCTTTCTTGACTGTCTGCAGAGCTCACTCTCTAAAATTTCTTTTATGTTTCTGCTGAGATTTTATCTTACAAGAGAGGTTATCCTAGACAACTTACCTAAGTAACTATCCTTTCCCCACCGTGGCATGGCCGTACTCCTTTATCTTCCTTTGTATTTTTGTTATACCACTTATTACTATCTGATATGTGTTTTAATGGATTTGTTTATTATTCCCTGCCCTGCCCATTAGAATGAAAGTTAAAGTGCAGGGACTTTGTCTGTTTTACTCCCTACTGTGTTACTAGTCTGGAATAGGTTCTGAACAGAGAAGGTGCCCAATTAATACTGTCAAATTAATGCATTAAAAATGTTGATGTCATGCTACATTGGTTCTGATCTTCTAGCTTGTCTGTCATTAATCAGATCATAAAAGTCAGCTCATATTGCACAAATTCATGTAATTGTCCTTCATGCACAGAAATACAATATAATGTGATAATGGGGACAATTTTCTTGTTTCCTTTTACTGATGGATGTATTTATATATACACATGTAAATATATATATCCACACATATATATATTCTCTTAAATGTTCTTTATATTATAGCTAGTTTTCAGAGGACTATCCTTGTATTTCACATTAGTTAATATTTTATATTGTACATTTTAAAAATATATAATCTCCTGTTTTCTCTCCCTTTCTTGTTCTATGATTTGTCAAATAATTCTTGGTTCAAAAATATTCATTAATTAATCAATTGAACAAACTCATATTACATACTCACTTCCCAGTTAGAAAAATCAATTTTAATTCAGAAAGATTATTTCATAAATGTGGAATTACAGCAAGAGAACTGAATAGTTTCCGTAGATGAGGGGAAGAAAAAGGTTTCATTTCAACCTTAGATGAAACCTATTACATTTCATTTCCAAACTCATGGCCTCAAAGTAATACTTTCTTCAGCCCATTAAGGAAGTCTATTTTTGTGATCATCTTCTGTTCTAGCAGACACTTTATCTTGGATACAATCAGAAAATCATATTTGTGATTTCCATTGTTTCATCATTATTTCTGGCTACATGTTAGCTTGAACTTCACTTCATTTTTCTTTCTAAAGTATTTCATTGGTTTCCCTTCTACTTTACATGATTGATTTCACATTTATGACATATTGTCCAATTTTGTCCAATTTTGATTAGCTCTTTATGAATCAATTTGTTGCCATAAATCCGTTAATATTTAGGATTATCAAAAGCATATTCTTTCTGAATATATCTTAATCCCATATTTCATTAACATTAATAAGTAGTTTATTAGGAAACTTCAGAACTTTAAATTAAGTTGGAACATTGGAATACATTTTTAAAATCCTCAAATTTCCAGTTGTTTCAGCTTTGTTTATCTAGTAATAAACTACTGCATCCTTGTAAATAATTGAATTGTTGCTAGATCTGAAGTTTATTTCATCTAAGGTACAAAGAGTTTACCAGACACTACACACTGCAGTGCGGTATTCTAAGTTGCACCAAGCACATGCATTCAGCAGAACAGCCACTGAGGATATATGGGTTCAAAAACAAAGAGTTAATAATACATTAATGTCAAACTTACAATTATTTGGAATCAAATCTTTCTAATTCATGAAAATGTTGTTTGTATACAATATAAAACAACTCAAGTTTCATTAATGTAATAGAAAGTATAATGTGAAAGGTAAAAAGGACACTGGGAAGGTCAGAGTCAATTTTAATTTTCTTTTTATAACTCTTAAATTGCTTGGGTTATTCCACAATGAGAATGTATTCACTTTGCAATGAAACTTTTCTTTTCTCTCCTCCTCCACCAAAAAACAAAAACAGACAAATGGAAGAAAAGTTCAGTAACTATAACCCAGTAATAGAGTTTACCTCCTAAACATCCATTGTTGTACTTCAGTGGTTACAAATTATCTACTGTATGACAGCTTCCTCCTGATGAATCTCATCGTCTTCAGTCATTATCATTTTTAGTTCATCCCACTACAGACAGACAGGTAAAAATGTGTTATTATTCTGTAACACAAATGAATTATGTCACCATACAGCTTAAGTTCTTGCAGTTCGCCACCAGTTACTTTCAAGATAAAATTTAACTTCTTACCATGTTGCTTATGACACATTGACTCTTTGGTCCCTGCCTTTATGTCCAATCTCTTCCTCATAGGCATGAATGTCCCAGGCATAGTGAAGCCATTGCAGGTTCAAAAGTGTGTCTTCTCCGCCAGCATTCCATGCTTTTCACAAGGCGTGCCTCCCCTGTGTTTGTCCATTCAACTTGTTCTTCAGAAATCAGCTGAGGCTTCTCCTGCTAACTACCATATTTTTTTTTGTCTGTCCTAACCTTTCTAAGTGAACTGCCTAAACCTACCCCAGGCTCAGAGCACATTTCTAACACTGTAGTATAACCCCCAGCTTTCTTTCGTGCCTGTGTATTCAGCGGTGAATTTTCAGAAGTGCTGTGCAGCTTCATCATCTATCAGTTGTTTTTAACTGTTGGGTACCAAGAGCATGCTCAATTACACAGAAGAAGAACGGACATGGAATGAACCAGTGTCTCTTATGTTGCTGTTAGGCTATCTTTGCAAACATGAATAGCTCTGCAAGAAATAATCTAGGCAAGCACAAGTTCCAGAAAATGTATATGAAAGGTATTTCTAATAGATATTAAACATGCTAAAGGTATGTGAGATCACGCTAGGCAAATGTAAAATTATTTCCTGTAATCTGCAAATGGACAAAATATTATGGCATTATTAGTCTCACCAAAGGGTATAATAATTATGGACTCTGCCTTTACAGTTAGAAAACTTTGCAAAATCTAAATTTTACTTTAATAGCAATATTTTCAAATTTGGATTTTTATAATAGCTGGTGTAGTCCACTTTGCATTGTTGAATAGGAATACCTGAGACTGGGAGTGTACAAATAAAATAGGTTAATTTGGTTCACAGTTCTGCAGGATGCACAGGAAGCAAGACACCAGCAACTGCTTCTAGTGAGGGATTCAGGGAGCTTTCAAACCTGGTGGATGTGGAAAGGGAGCAGGTGTGTCACATGGTCAGAGAGAAGGAGGAAGGGGAGGAGGAGAAAAAGAAGTGGCAGGCTCTTTTAAACAACCAGCTCTCTCATGAACTACTACTCACTCATTACAGTGGGGAAGGCATCAAGCCATTCATGATGGATCTGCCTCCATAACCCAGACAACTCCCACTTGACCCCACCTACAGCATCGGGGGCCACATTTCAATATGAGATTTGGAGGGGACAAATATCCAAATTATATCAACTGGTGTGTATATGGCTTTTATTATGTCTCTTAAATGGATGCATATACATATTGTAAATATCTGAAACACAAGTACTATGAAATGAAAATAATTTACTAAAGTCCTCAGCAAATTATTGTCCTATTGAGGTATGAATAAATGAAATCACACAAATTTAAAATATTTATTATTTATATTAAAATGTTTTTTAATCTATGGAAATGTCACCTATTTTCAAATCTATAATAAGAGCTAGCCTAAATGCATTATTGTTCTTAACTTAAATTTCTTGTTTGTGGTTTGACAGCTTTGCTTACTTTGCATATTATTTTGTTTGTGTCTATTTTAGAACACCTGATTATTATATTTTACTTCCTAGGGGGCATTATTGCACAAGAGCTTCCAGTAGCTGCTATAAATCATAGGTAGCCATGCCCTATGTACATTTTTTAAATGCTGTGTTGAAATAATTCTCGAGTTTGGCCTAGGGTTTTTTTTTTTAATTTTTGAAACACTGTCTTTAGTTGTTCTAGATTGTCAGTAGCTTTATATGCATGAATGAGGATTACATCTAACTCATTCTCACTTTGGGCCTGACTCATTAAGAGAAGCAATTTCATTTACAGATGTGAAAGGCTACATTACTTACCCCACGGCCTATGATGCCAGCTGGAAAGCTTTTCCTCCAAAACAGTCAGACAAGATGATTGTAAAGAAAATGAGTGACAGGTCTACACTGCACGCAGGCAAACCTGTGGAGTCTATATGCATATCAGATATTACAGGAAACCACTTATGCAGCTTTAGTCATAGTGTTGACAGATTGCTTCTGCTCAACTTGAGACACATTGAACTATGCAATATACACTGACATAATGCTGAGAAGCAAATTACATGCCATTTTTGAAAGGTTTGTGATACCACACTGGTAAACAAAAGTCTGCCTTATTACCACAGTGTCTAATATATCCTTTTAGAAATGGTGAGATCCCACGGGACAGGTAGTTTGAAGAATATGAACCCCAAGAAGCGTGCTCTAAGCCATAAAGCTCTTATCTGTCAATATCATACATGGAAAACATGTTACAAAAGAGCATAATTGTGTGCTATTGTTATTGCTGAGACATCAGTCTTCTTTATGTTTGCATTAGGGACTTGTTAAGGTGCAGAATGTTTTGCCCACTAAATGTCTATATGAGACAAGATTGTCAACTCAGCTGTAAACAGAGGGTATTCTTCCTAGAAAAATCTCTGAAATTGGCTATATCACTGTAAACAGCAGAAAGTCTTCTCAATTCCCATTTTGATTGATAATTATTTAAGAGTTTGAAAGCAAATACAAATATAAATGTGATTTCTAAAATCTTATAAGTTTTATCTTAATAGTTTATTTCCTTCCGTTTTTATTAAGACTGAATCTATAGTGGACAATGGCTGTAAAACAGCCAGTAATCTCCCCTGCCCAATGGATTTATAATATATAAAGCAGACTATGGGGAGTACTCTGAAACAGTGAATGTTTGGTGGAATCTTTCTGGAATTAAAAAGGCAGCTCTTGTTTCAATGTTGGAGTGAAAAAGTAGCTTTCTGTGTTTTTTATAATTTTTCCATATGTAGAACTTACATGAGAAGACTTTGGAATTTATATTATATTTGTGATCAATTTTTGTGTCCTCTCCCCACATAAGATGCATATGTTAAAATCCTATACCCCAAGGTGATAGCATTAGGATGCAGGGCCTCAGGAGGTGATTAGATCATGAGGGTGGTGCCTTTATGATTGGAATTAGTTCCTTTCTTTTATTTATTTATCTTTTTGAGACAGAATCTTGCTCTGTTGCCCAGAGGAATGCAGTGGCACAATCTCAGCTCACTATAACCTTCACCTCCCGGGTTTAAGCAATTCTCCTGCCTCAACCTCCCGAGTAGCTGGGATTTCAGGCAGTGCCGCCACACCCAGCTAACTTTTGTGTGTGTGTCTGTGTGCGTGTCTGTGTGTGTGTGTGTGTGTGTGTGTGTGTGTGTGTTTTAGTAGAGACAGGGTTTTTCCATGTTAGCCAGGCTGGTCCGGAACTCCTGACCTCAAGTGATCCGCCCTTGACCTCCCAAAGTTCTGAGATTACAGACATGAACCACGGCACCCAGCCTAGTTCCCTTATAAAAGGTATTTCAGAGAGCTAGCTTGCCCCATCCACCATGTGAGAACACAGTGAGAAGTTTCCATCTATGAACCAGAAAGCAAGGTCTTCTCAGACATCAAATCAGCCAGTGCCTTGATCTTGGACTTCCCAGCCTCCAGTAGCCTGAGAAATAGATTTCCATTCCTTGTAAACTACCCAGTCTATGGTAGACCAAACAGACTAAGACAATATTATCGAGGGGAAAAACAGGATAAGATCTTTGGTAATGATATCCCTGTGGGAGGTTGGCAAATAAAGAAAGGAAGAGAGGGTCGATGCCAATAAGTGTCTTTGTATCAGCCTCATCCGTCCTTTCTGCAGCCCCTAACACCTCATGGCCATCTTGGGTACTGATGGCCTTGGCCACAGAAACCACCAAATATGCTGTTTATGTTTCACTACCATTTAACTCTATGAACAGCACAGGTAAGCAGAATCAATGAGTAACTGTAAGTGGCACTCGTTAATTTGTCTTTAAATAAGGTTTAGGGGAAAAAAAAGTTAACTACGATATGTTTCAACCATCAAAGCCTGATGATCTCTATGACATTTCATAAGACTAAAGAAAAATAAAATGTAGAACTTCTCAGGAACAATATTGTCATTTGTTCGTTCGTGAGTTCTACATATACTGTGTTAAACATGAAAATCTTGCTCTTCTGGGCCAGATTAAAATGAAACCTTTAAAACTTCTTTTAAAAGCATTTTTGAAAACAATACTCATAATAGATTATCTCACAAAGGAAAAAAGTAGTCTTTTAAAAAATAAAAATTCAGACATAACAATCACATTATTTTAATACCCCAGGTCTAATTGGACAATGTTTATTTGTCTTTTAGGAGTAATTAAAATTCCCTATTCACCATCACTATGTCATCCCATCTTCTATTGTTCATCAGTGTTCTTCAAAAATGAAAAATTGTAATTAATCTTCGAAGAAAGGAGACATACAAAATTGTTATTCAAAGTATTTTAAAGCAAGGCATAGTATAGGTGCTCAATTGCAAATCAGACCTTTCTCTTTTTGCTCAATTGGCCAGGACTTTTCAGGACTGAATCAAAACTTGTTATAGAAAGAAAGAAATGTTATGTATTTCCCTTATTCCTTTCTTTATAGAATTGTTAGGGGTTTCCTAATTCATCGGTATTATGATTTCACGCTTCTTTGAGATTTAGCTTATTGGAAAACTTTTATTGTCAATGTTGCAAGAAGGTCTTGCCCTTTAAAGATGTCATGTGTGAAGATGGCAACCAGTAATAGATAGAAACAGACCAAGTTACAGTAAGACCTCCCTTTCTATCAGTGATATCCAAAGATACCTACCCTCCCTCTCACTTCCCCATTTCCTTTGTCATTCCCTAACACTATGTGATCTGGGCTGTAGATTAAACAAGAGGGAAATTATCATAAATCTAGACCAAAGATACCTTCTTCTTTCTCACTCCAAATACAAAGGTGAAAGGGGAAGTCAAAGAGCAGACAGACCACTGTCCCATCTCCAACCTGAGGTCCCCTGAGCTTCAGGTCAACAGTCTAGTAGTAACCATAAGATAGGGGATGGAATTTACATTAAAGTTGAGGCTCAATCTTTAAACTGGAGTTGGTTTAATGATTAAAAGGAATAAGAAATATGGAGTCTGTCCAGAGCTCATGTTAAAACTGAATTGAGAGTCTTCAACCTGTTACACTTTTATTTCTTAATCAAAATGGAAATTTTACATAAAATTTGAAGCTGTTCAAGGAAATCAAGTATCCATTAATGGAACAGAATTATAGCCTATTAGAGCTGAAAAGAACCTCAATATCACCTGCCCACTTCTTAATTTTGTAGATGAGGAAATTGAGAAAAGTTGAACAAATAACCCAAGTTTACAAGAGTAAGTCAGAGCTAGCTCTAGAAGTCAGATTATCTGACTTGCAGTTCAATGCTGATTGGCCCCAACAGGCCTTTGTAATTGGACATGAAAAGGGTTGGCATTATGAATCTGAAAAGAGGAAAGTAAGGTGGGAGTAAAAATCAACTTTACTTTCAATTTTGACCTAATATGTCGACCTCTCCACAGGCATTTCCCTCCAAGCTCAGATGGGTTCTAACATCATGAAAAGTACATTTCAACTGGGTTATTTCACTTTAAAACCTTTCTCTGTGGTACCTTTCAGCGAAAGATTCTTAATTCTTGATAATATATTTCACTGTGAAAAGGATGAAGATATTTTATTAATTGTATGAACACAGTTCAGAATACCTAACTCTTCACTGATAAGCTGAGAGGAGTATTTAAGTAATGATATAGTATTATCTATGCTTTTGATAGAGAGAAAATGTTATAATAATTTTAACCAGTGTATGTACCAGGTGCTGTTAATTTTTTAAAATGAATAATTAGAAGCTACTTATGATGCAGGTAGTGTTGGTATACCCGATTTGCATGTGGCAAAGCTGAGGCTGAGATAGATTAAATTAATTTGCTCAAGATCACAAAAATATGTGAATTGGACTCAAACCCAGGCTGCCTTATTCCAGATGTTTTAGGCATACTGCCACTCTTGGATGAAGTACTTTTCAAAGTACCCCTGATTATTTTTTTTCTCTCACTTTCCAATTTCCTAGTTCTTTCCATGCGACAGCAATGTTGTTTTCATTAAGGCAAAAGGAAATAAGAGTTAAACATGTGGATAGGTGCATTTGTGCAGATTTGACGATTATGGGAATAGAATTTAGTTAGAGGGAAATAAGCTATTGTATTAGAAAATTACACATTAAAAGGAAAGGTTTAAAACTAATTTTTAAAGCAATTAAGTGATAACCTTTCAAAATGTATATTTTTGTATTTTAAGTGTATTATATTCTATGCCCATTTTATGTTTTTTTCTCTTGACTATACAGTAAATATATTAAGAGAAAATATTATATTATGAGGAGATATACTTACTATAATGCTCTTCTGAAACTGGGAGATCGTGAGGCAATTAGTGCAAATTCCTGTATTAAGAACTTAACTTAAACATAAGAATTAAATGTAAAGAAAATAAGTGACACTGTGGAAATAATGGAGTTGTTAACAAAAGGAGGAATCTCATCTAAGAAGACTTAGGAGTGGTTTTTTAGGTCTGAGGTGGTTCCCTGTCTTCATAGCTCCTCCAGACACAGTTTCTACCTCTCGCCTGCTTGTTCCGACTGAGCTATTGCAGGCCATTTATTACTAGGAACACAAGCAGTATTTTGACTTGCAGCCATAATGCAAACCCAAATTTTGCACACTGTCTTCAGCCATCACTTTAAACTTGGAAAATTATGACTTTAATTAAAGATTCAGCATAAAGCCAGCAAGACAATAAATCTGAAATTGATTCTTTGGTGTGGATTACATTCCTGTGACCTCAATGGTCACATTGTCTCTCATGCTGCCAGTACTGCCCCGTACTTCCCACAGATCCTCCCTCCTAACCCTTCACCTTGAGTGGTTTTCTTCTCTTCCCCACTCCAGTGTCATATTGTTAAAGCACTCACAATCTTAGAATGGATGATATGTATACCTAAGCTGTAAAACAAAAATTGATATCTGAAACTGTATTAGGAAAATACATGTAGTTTTCAGATTAAAATGAAAGAAATAGATTGAATCACAGCTTAGTGTCATTTCACTTTTATTATTATAGCATATTTTAAAAATACTATTCAGTGTAAGCTAGATTTTTTTAAAATTTGATAATCTTGTTTTAAGCCCAAATGAAGATGAGTTAAAAGCAAAAAAGGCAGGAATTTTAACGTTGCAATTAAAACTAAATTTGAACTCATCTCAGTTTACAATAAAGCTTTTGGATTTACATTTTGGAATCTGGCCTTCTTGTCTGTTGTATTAGCTAATGACTGACTCTTTTAACTCTTGGAATACCTAGGTCCTTTTTCCTCCTATGTTCCAATTCCCCAGTTTTTTCCATGTGACAACAATACTTTTTCCATCGAGGCAAAAAGAAGTAAGACTTAAACATGGGAGTAAATTCATTTGTGCAAATTTGGGGAGAATGTGAATAAAACTAAGGCACAAGAAAATAATGGATTCATTTTTCTGTGATAACATATATGAATGATTGAGGAAGTTAATGAAAAGGGAGTCCCACTAAAAAGTCAGAATTATAAAGAAAATCCTAGAGAGTTGCACTCTAAAGCTGAGGCTGTCATTTCTTAAAACATTGCAGCTTGGTACAAGGGAGACCTCAGAACAGTGGGTGTTCTAACAGTTCCAGTCCATGCTTCAGTACCCAGGAGTGACGGGATGACTGGAAGGCAGAGAGACTGCCATATTGATTTCTGTGGAAAACCAAAGCCCCCAAATATCAATCTTAACTTTTCTTCGAAAAACTTATACTTCTTCCCAAAATCATTTTAAACACAAGCCAATAAATGTAAACTGCATACAAAAATCAAAGTAACATATTTTATGTGTGCATGTAAACAACAAGAAAAGTAAGACATATTTAGCTAATATCTTAGGTTTGCTATCTTTTTGCAATATAGATGCCTTTTGTAACTTTCCTGCAGGGGTAAGTATGGACCATAAACTCTGAAACACAGATGATGGAGTACAGCCTACATTTATAAGATGGCTACAGAGGCCCCAAACGTAATAAGTACTGGAATTAAGGAATTATATGATACTTCCATTTAAAAGAAAAATTAAGATACTCCATACTTTTAAATGAAATGTCAAAGAATCTGTGTCACATTGTAGAAAACACTGAGACAGGCATCTAAGTAAATACAAACATTAAAGCAACTTAAAACGCATTAATTGAAGGCCATTTCCTAACTAAAATTGTTTCCTCCAGTTGAAATATTGCAGCTTAATCCAACATTTTGTTTCTCTGACTTGTGTGAAGTGTAAACTCATGATGCATCTTCTTTCCTCTGAAGTCACTCTGGCCTAAGCAGCTCATCATTTCTATCATTTGCTAGGAAATGTGCCACATGGTTGCATTATGAAGAAAATAATGTGTATAATGTGATTATAATCCACTTTTAACTCTGAGACTTAGTGTTGAAATTTGCCTAGGGCGATTTCAGAATACATTCTAAAGGTTCAACCTTATTTGAAGGAAGCACTTTGTGTATCTTCACATCCCCTCAAGGATATCGGTGTGATGACACCGGGGCCACCAGGCTGCCATTAGGATAGTCATGACAGTCACTATTTGGTTTTTACCTAAACAGCTCAAATATTTCATTGTGGAAAGTAACTATACTGGAACACTAAATAAAATGTTTCTGGAAAAAAAATTAACTTAAATCCATGATTTCATGCCATGGAACTCTGAGTTAGAGGTTTTAAATTTTTTCAGCCCCAAAGACAAACTGCATAGCTGGTGTTCTTCCATTACAGTTGCTTTTGTGTATTTAATATGCCATATTGCATTTAAGATGCTAAATGAATACACAGACTAAAGTTGCATTTTTCACATTAAGCTGTTAAGAGTCTCTTTAAATGAACTTTGAATATTAGCAAATGATATATCATTTAATAACCAGTCTAAATCACATTCTTCTCATTGTCCTGCTGTGCATCTTAATGACTGGAGGCAGGCAGGATATTAGAGTGGTTAATGGACAATATTTTTATATTGACTTACTTAAAATACTCTAATAAATTCCTTCTCCATGAAGAATAGGCAGGAAATATATTCCTCTAGGAGCCAAAAGGCAGTAATACTTAAGAACTTATACGAGTTTGGGAGCATTACCTATAATATGCCCACATGTCTTTTTGTGATCCAGATGAATAAAACATCAAGATTTTCACTCTTTCTTAACATGTGATAGCAACATGTTTTGAAAGTGAATCACATTGTATAAAAGCCCCAAACAGCAAAGACATAAATTTCTTCACGTAGTCACCAAACTGACTAGTCTGTGTCTGAAAACATAAGGATAAAATTTACCTTGCCCAAGCAGGGAGGGAACACATTTCATCACCCTCGTCATATTCGTGTCATCGTATTCTTCATAGAGTTGTATTCCATCCATTCAGAATATAATCGTCTCACTATCATTCACAAGGTGGCTGACTGTTTAGGGTTCTCCTTGTCAATAACACAGTACTTAGCCTTTTCACCCACTTTCTAACGTCCTCAGGTATGTTAATTACTCCCATAGTTCCAGGTTTAGAAGTCGTCTTATGTCACTTATACCAGTTAGGATGACACTTACTTGAAAGTAACAGAAAAAACAGGTAACTAAAGTGTCGTGAACAGTGGGAGCTTAATTTTCCCACTGAATTTTTTAGGAATGCAGTTAATATCATTGTTTCAGCTTCTTGGACTGTCATATGGATCAAGACTCTTTCTCTCTTTTAACCATCATGAATAACTAGCTTTCCTCTCCATGTTTAGAGAGGACTGCAGCATCTCTGGATGTCACTATTATATTTACAAGCAGAAAACAATATATGGAGGTAGAAGCAGTTAGAAAAGGGCAGGCTAGAAGAAAACTACCCTAGAAATGCCCCATCACACTTTCTCTTACGGCTTATTGAACAGAACTGAGTCACACAGTTACTCTAAATTACAAGCAAAACTGAAAATATGTCCCCCTTTTTCCCTACAGTGAGAAGCAGGCAAGATATAGGTCTGCTAGGATTTGCTTATAAATTTGCCAAGCAAGAGTAGCCACCACTGCCACACAAATTAGCCTCCCCATTGTTGCCTGCACCTTTCTTTCACCACCTGTTGCTCTCTCTGGTCTCTGTTGATGAAGTGCACTGGGGCATTGTGTGCTTTATGAAGACACAGTCTGTCACTAGACTGTCTAGGCATAGAGGCATAAGTCATCAGTGGTTTGTTCTTAGAGATCTACCTATAAGTTGTAGAAATATCACTGATAGGAGGAGATTCCTAAAGCAGAAGCCACTCCTGAACTCAAGAACTAGGGTAAGTCTTTGCCCGTAAGGTGGAGCTCTGTAAGCTCTTCCGCTGCAGAATAGCTGTGATGCTACCATTGTTGCCTGCACCTTTCTTTCACCGTCTGTTGCCTCTATGGTCTTCTGTTGATGAAGTACACCGGGGCACTGTGTGCTTTATGAAGATGCAGTCTGTCACTAGACTGTCTAGGCAGTAGAGGCATAAGTCGTCAGTGTTGCTTCTTAGATATCTACCTATAAGTTGTAGAAATGTCACTGCTGGAGGAGATTCCTAAGGCAGAAGCCACTCCTGAACTCAAGAACTAGGGTAAGTCTTTGCCTGTAAGGTGGAGCTCTGTAAGCTATTCCGCTGCAGAATAGTTGTGATGCTACAGGGGTAACAGTCATTGTACACCAACCTCCCTTCTATTGTGAGAAATCTTCTTTACGTTGATAATTTGTAACATAAAGCACTGCTTCGAACCTGGAGAACTTTTCCTACAGCTATCCCCAGTGGACACCATGCCTTTTTCTACTCTTCCAAAATCTTCATGAGATCAAGGGGATAATCTTGCTCTTTAGAGTTCCCCATCTATGAAAATTCCACTTCATTGTTCTGTCAAAAATGTTTAACAAAGTTTCCACTTTGGAAACCCAACTTTTTATACGATCTGTGTATATTCAAACCATTGGTTTGATTACCTTCAAAACATTCTCTCCCTTGTTTTAAAAAAAAGAAAAAAAGGATCCCACATTTTCTGTTATTTCCTCAAAGCTTTATATCCTACATTTTACCACTTATAAATCCGTATGAGGGACTTCGCTAACACTTTGATTTAAGTCTCCCTCCTCTTTAACAGCAATCTCTGCCCTCTTCTCCACCCTCCTGTCACCCATTAGATGACTTACATAGTTTTCCTCCAGACTAACCCTCTTCATAGCAGCTCCACCTCCAGGACCTTAAATTCAGAACCCCTGTGTCTGGGCAAAACCTCTTTACTTCCTCCTCTCCTGTGTCTTGAGTCCCCCAGAACATGATCCTCATTTTCTTTTTCTTCATCATCCATCAAACCAACTTTCATCCTTGGTTCGCTGGCACCTCCTATGGACTCTCCCTGACTTTCTTACCACACCGTGTTAGAAATGGTAATATTAGCATAGGAAAATAAATTTCTCCCCCAGCTTTTTTTCACTCCAGTCCCTCCTATGACTTAATTTCATCTTCTTAAAACATAGATTTTAATGTATCTCTCAGTTGCTCTCTATCCTTCCATCAGGCACACTTTCCTATTATATTCATTTCCCTCTCTTTATGCTGCACTTAAAGCTTTCTGCAAGTAAACCCAGATCTCTCTTCCCAAACAGATCTTCCTCACTCCTAAATATATTCTCCTTTATTTTGCTGTCTGAACCATTCCCCTTGTTGTTGCCTTTCCTCAGTGTAAAATGACAAAGCCTTCAATAACCATTAGAGGAAATAAATTCTTTAAGGCACAAATTAGATGCAACTTCTTTTTTTTTAATTCTAACTTAATGCACTCTCTATGCTTTGTCTTTTTATGATAGTTTATGCCTCTGATATGACACTTACCATATACTTCCTTGGAAAGGAATTCTTGAAAGTATTTCTTGTGTGTACATTGTTATATTGTGTTTTAAGCCAGTTGAAGAAAATGGTCATGTACATCTTCAGAGTTGCACGTAGCTTCTGATCAATGAATATTGCTGAGTGAATGTTTAATGTTAAAAAACTAAAAATCTCTTCACATAGTTAAGTTAATCCAACACAAGAGCTCAATAAGAGCCAAACTGGGAACTTCAGGACAAATTACAAAGTCACCAAAAATAAAATATCAAGGGGAAAATGAGATAAAAATTAACAAGAAATGCAAGGCACAACATTTTCCATACAGTAACACTGAGCAGCAAAGGAAAGAAAAGTCACACAATCGTGTCTCTTAATTAGTAGAGAGTTCCTCTCAAATACTCTACACTTAGTTGGCTATGAAGCTGTAGAAATTCCCAAAGAAAGAAAATCTACTACCTCTCCTGTTGAATAATCCAAATTAACACAATATTGCAAAAGAACATGGACAAGATGGAGGCCAGGGGGAAAATGTATGCATTAAGAAATGGAATTCGTTTCCAAGTATATTAATATATTACTTCTTTTTTTTTATATCAGTGGTTTCCAAAGTGTCATTCTTGCGCCAGCAGCAGCAACTTACCTACAAAGGATTAGAAATATTCCCTGACCCACTGAATCAGAAACTCTGAGGGTTTGATGCAGCATGGTCATTCCTCCAGGTGATTCTGATGCACATCGAAGTTTTGAAACCACTGACTTAACCACTGGAGCATTCTTCTGCTTGTTTATAAATCCACCTTAAAATTATAAAACATTAAATTGATAGTCCAGAAATATTTAAGAAAGAAAAATTCACTCTTCCCAGATAATTTTTGTTGTTGTTGTTAATGTCTTGGTAACAGCTGAATTGAAGGATAATAGTGAAATAGTATAAATTTATTTGTCCAAATGCCTGGGATACACAATCTATTCCACCCCCACCTCCAGCCTCAGTAGACAATGAGCTTTTGGAGGTCAAGAATTGTGTCTATTCTGCTAATTACATAGCACAGTAAGCATGTATGCACTGGATATTTGTGGAACTCATAGACTCAAGACAATCAAGAATATAAGCTCCATGGGGTAGAGAAGACAATTGTTAACCCGTGGAACTTATATTCTACTCAGAGACATAGAGCTTTAACAGATAGCTTATAAATGTCTAACTGAACACTACTAACTGTGTGACTGGAAAGAGAAGAGTCAAATAGGCTTCAGATGGGTGGTCAGAAAAGGCCATTCCAAGGAGTTGACATTTAAGCTGAGACCTGAAAGTGAAGACACAGCCTGAAGAAGATCTGGAGGGAGAGTTTCCTTGGCAGGGAGTAAATAAGGGGCAGAGAGCCTGTATGGGAAGGAGTTCGCTTTACCTTGGGAACCGTCAGTGTGTCTGTGCTTAACTGGAGACAGGGAGATTGGCAGGCAATGAAGGTGGGAAGGTGGAGAGTTAGAAGTGTCAGAAGATTCAGAGTCTTCTGAGCAGAGGCAAAGAGTTGATTGAAAAAAATAGATGTAGTCTCTGTTTTAACATCAAATACTGTTTTAACCTCAAATACTTCTGCAAGGTGATAGAATATAATTCACACTTCTTCAAATTGTGAGTGAAATTGTAGTTAAGAGCGAAAGGGGAAAATCTGTTTCATAGGTGCTGAGTTTTTAATTGCTGATGAAAGCAATTTAGTGTCAGGTTTCCCATTAGAATTCAAATGTTTTATTATTGGTCAATATATGTTTGCCGGAAACCTCAGCTCTCCCCAGCCCCTTGGCTTTCTTTGTAACATCAGATGAATTTTAACATTTTGCACGTGCAAGTTCAAAATGCCAGCTTTTATCATCTACTCCTGAAAATTGAGAATTGGATACCACAAAGAGTTAAGATAAACCTGCTTGCAAATTAACTAGAAGATTGCAAGGTAAAGCCCAACCGTGGCCTCAAGATGCTATTTCCTTCTCTCAAATCTTAGAAAGACCACGTGTGTCTATTGTTAGAAGGTGGGTTTCATGGTCATTGACGATGGGTAGAACCTAAACATAGAACATCTTTGTCAGTGATTCCTGTAACTCTTAACTGAGTTACTACACTTGATGCTAGATGAGATTAAATATCATCTTGAACTTGAGAGAGAAATGGGAAGAAAATCTTTCACTTGGTATATATAATTACTTTGTAACATTACAATGTTACTCTTAAAAGACTCAGTTCCTATTAAATATTGAGCATAGTACTTCTCCTGTGGAACACTCAAAAATAAAAACCAGCATGGTTCGCTTTTCCATAAATAATTTTTTTATTCCTTTAGTCTTCTGCTTAAAATCATTTTGTAGGTTTGTGATTTCATCCCAGAAAACACTGTTAATCACAAGCAGTGGGATGCCCCCTTTCACTGTGAAAGCACACCATGCTGTTATTTGTTATAGAATTAATTCTTGTAAGTGCAATTTCATGCTTTGCCACAACTAGCTCCTTATTGCTATCATCTTTTAAAAACACTATGTTATTTTTATATTTTAAAACACTGTTATTTTTATATTTTAAAAAACACAGTCCTTTTTAGAGAGTATAACACATTCATTCCTTTAATGATGCTCTTGTCTGCTTTATGAAATAACTATTGTTTTTCTGTTTTCCATCATATTGTCAGGATATTTTCTCCATTTTTGTTAAAGGAAAGCAATGCCTGAATGCATTAACTTTATACTTTGCAATGCATCAGAGTTATAGTGCAAGCCAGGGAATATTGCCATCCTCAGGTTAAATTTCCAGGGGTTCAATAGTATTTGAAAGTGGCAATAGTTCAACTTTTGTGAATTCTGGATCTTCTTTTTGAACTTACTTTTTTCAGTTAGATGAAATAATGATCTAAAAAATGCATGTATTTTTATAATACCGCTATTTAGCATTTTTGTATCTGAATCTTCCTTAGAAGTTTTCAAAGGACGAGCAGTGACATATTTGCTGTTGAGAAAAGACAAACTAAGTCTCATGGCAGTTTCACGATTTTGTGATAACGTTTTTGATGTGCCGCATGAAAGGAATCAAAATGCTTAGTTTGGTCAGTAAAGTATAGCATGAATCAATCCATGTAAATTAAATGGTTCTTGATTATAATAATGACCCTGATAAAATAAGCATTGATAATATTTAAAGCCTCTGTACTCTTTTAGTGATAAAAGATAGTAACATACCTTGGTTTCACCACATTTAATCCTTTTAGGGAGGAAATTTCAAATACGTTATAATTCAGCATGATGATATTTATTATAATGATACACTTCTACCTAAAGCTTCGAATAAGTAATCTAATTATATCTAGTAGCCATTAATTGAGAAGAAACTATAAGAAGCAAGAGGTCAATCATTATTATCTGTTCATTAGTATTACGTAGAATGCTTTTTGCTATAGAGCTTTTTAAAATATGCTTTTCAACAATTGTGAGAAGTCAAGTAAACTCTAAAGACACTAGCATTATTAAAATTTAGTCTAATTAATCTTGTTAGCATAATCTGAGTGTTTGAAAATAAGGATAGCAAATAAACATTCTACACATTCCTTGGTAATATGAGTAAAAAAGGGGGGCCAACATGCATTCAGAGCTGTAAAAAGGGTCTTATAATCTAAAACTATATTAAAATAGATTCCAAGTGACTAATGATAAGCTCTGTACATAGTTGGTCTGCTTTACCCATCTAATTATTTTCTATTCGGTAATTTCATTTTCAGTTACATGGTAAATATTTAACATCAGAGAAAATTAACATTTCAAGTTTTAAACATTATGAAAATGGATTAGCTCCAAATTACACACAGTGTTCGCTCTTCTATTTATTTTCACCCCATATCAATTTTTTTTAATTCCCTCATCTCCTTGCACTATATATTCACTTAACAAAACTAATAAATTAGATGGGAGAAACCAGTGGAAAAACTAAGTAAAATGAAAATTCGCTAATCCAAATTATTAATTTTTGTACCAAATAGGATTATTATCACAGGATAACAACAGCTAAAACTATCCTCTAAAACAAAAGATCATTTTTCTTTCATTTGGAACATTTTACATTAGCAATGCTTCCTCTACCTGTTCATTAACCATTGCTATTTTTAAATCACATTACATTATATGCCTAGCATTGTATCTCAATAACTATATATTGTTTCTAACTTACCTTTCAATTGCTCCCTTTACACCAACCAGGCAAATAATTTTTGTTTCTGTAGATCCACGGTTATTTTGCTTGATCAAATAGCAACTATTTTTTTTCTGTTATGTGTCTTGCAATGCTGGGTTTGTTAGCTGAAAGGTCTTGACTTACGTGCGTTAACTTCTACAATATAATGAGACCAGCAGGAGAATAGACAAAATTGGCCACTCAGCCAGGTCAACTCTCCCTTCTTCACACCTACAGACATTACTGTCACCACACCCTCCTCTCAGTGATCTAACTCTTACCTAAGTATTTTCTAAAAAAATATTATCAATAATTAAGTTTTCTTACTATTATTAGTTCATTCTCTCAGTTTCCTATCTGTCAATTTCCAAGTCATCCAGGCGCAATGTGGTCTCCTAGTAGGCATATGAATTATATAGCAATTTCCTTGGATTCAGCCCAAACTGTTCCTGTAACCAAAACTTTACCATCAGGAGTCAGAAAATCTCTCACCTTTCCCTAAAATATTACAATTTCCTGCTCTGTAACAGTCCCATATACAAATCTACTACATCTATCCCCAAATCTATTCTTACTTCCTCTTCGGACTTTCTTCAACTCACTAGTCTGACAAAGAATCCACATTTCCTGGTTTGGATTTTCTGGAGGAAACCTCGATTGAAAAGTAGACTACAATTTAAGCCAATGTAAGTTTTTTATTTACATGATTAGTATTAACTAGAGGTTCTGGAACTTCTAACATTTTGTTATTCAATACATTAATGAAATAATCTATATTTTATCTCTGCCTCAATCACCTAGTGAATTAAGCTAAAAAAAAAAATTCAGCCTCCAAAGGGACATATATTCCCTTTTATTCTTCTCTCTGATTTTATTCTTTGTGTTTGGTAGTAACGTTATGGATGATATTTATTGGGAACCAGAACTGTGAGGGGAATTTTTGGTATGAACTATCAGTTTAATTCTCACAATCCTCTGTAAGTAAGAATTGCTAGTCTTATTTTATTAGTGCATAAATGGGAGCTCAGAGAGGTTAAACAACTTGCCAAAGATAACACAGCTGATAAGTGGTAGAGACAGTGTATATCCATGTTGCTTCATCCGAGGCAAAAACACACACTCTTTCCACTCTGGAGGGTTGTGTACCTTACAATAATTACCAATATCAGTTTATTACATTCAAATATATAAGAATGCATACTTTTGAGTTTTAGAAGTTCCCAAAACTGCTTGTTATTTACTCCTGTGAACTTCCCAAACTGGTATTTGTGACAAGTATTTTCATAGGCAAGTTTTATTTGTTTATATATTTTCTTCTTCTTTTCCTGCAAACATATTACTTAGGTCAAAATGTCCTGATTTTAAAAACTGTCTTCTTATTTACAAATCGTAATGTTTTCTTCTAGCTAGATACTTTCTCTGTCTTAGTAAACTGAAAACATGGCATTCTGGCCTTTGTCAGTAACAACATTAACACTGCCTCAACTCACTTCTGTTTTCACCTAAAACGTAAGGAAAATTCATCTGCGAAGGAGCAAAAAAAGAGGTGAACATGACATTCATCAGAATGCAATTGACATTTTTCCTGAAAATAAAACTTTCTAAAATGTATCTCAGTGATTTTCTGATAAGACTGCATATAAAAGCTTGAAGCATTATTATTGTTAGTTTGAGATAAGGGGAATTATACTACAGTGACTGTTTAGGAAGCCGTGATCTGGAAGGGCTGCATCAGATTACCATTTTAACAACATTAGCTGGTTCTTAAGGCTCGCAGAACTGGAAGGAGGTCATATATGAGGAGAAACAGGCTTCATTAGTATAACTCCTTCCAACATTAAAGAGAGATTTTATTTTCCACAATCAGAGTTATAGTACATGATATCTCTTGCATTATCCAATAAATAAAATGTTAAAGGGTGTGATTATGGGATGCTTACATATCATGGGATAGAGTGAAATGAGAAATACAAAATAGTACTTTGTTAATCTAAGATGCTTTACATCACTTCATTTGCATGCTATAAATACTGTTTCATGAAAAGTGGTTTTAGAGCTGACTGCTTCACTGCCTCAGTTTTTACATCTTTTATACATACACATTAACCTGTCTTAAGAATCAGCTTAAAATATCTTTCCTCATTTTAGCTAGTATAACGTGGATCAAAATAGAGGCATTTAGAGCATTGACTTAATATTGAAATTTTGCTAGAGTGCTTTCCAAGCCAATAATTGCAAGCTCTCCCAGAAGTATATGGTGTTGTATTGATCCTGGATTCATCACTCACAACTAGTCACCCACTTGACTCTATTGACAATGACAGTGGAATGTACAGCGGGTAGGAAGCATGAGAGTACTTATGGTTTCCCTCTGGTTTCACGCTTAGTGTTGTCTAATTGGATATCGTGAGTGGCTGCTGAAATCAGGAGGAGGGGGAGAGGGAGCAGTTGGGAGGATGGTTGCACGCAGGGATTTTCCTATAAAAGGATTGTTTTTGGTAGTTTGTGATTACTTCAACTATATTAAACTAAATGTTTCAAATTCTTTCTTCTGTACTTACACATGTTAGCAAACCACAATTACACTTCTACTAGTCTGTTTTGTTCCCATTTGGGGAGTACAGTTGAGAAAAATTATCATGAAGAAATACTGGAGACATTTTAAATATGAGTATCATCTCTTTTCACCCTCCTCTCCTACTTCTTCCCTCTCAGTGTAAACATCTTATACATCAGATTATCCTATGCCTGCCCTGAACCACGTGCCCATCATTTGGCTGAATCCCTCTACAATGTTCTGAGGCAGGTTTCATGTTTAAACTCTAGCCCAAGGCCTTTTTGATCAAATATTTTCTATGAGTCACAAGTAGGCAGTAGGTCCCATTTTCTACTGTAGGTCATCATCAACAATCCCTTCAGTGCAGAGATTGTTAAAAATAACTGAAGATATTTTGTAGCATTTATTTGTTCATTTCTTAGCAAGTCCCATGTGTGTGGTGTGTTTGCATATCCACAGAACCATATCTTGATAGTACAAAGAGGAACAGCACTCTTGCCACCATCAAGGTACTTAACATCTGCTGGAGCAGGGGAAGAGTTGTACACAGATAATAAGAGCAGAACATGACAGTTTCCAGGAAAAAAAAAAGATGTATGCTTATATATACATATACTATTAATGCTCAGAAGATAAAGCATCTTACCTGAAGATTGGAAGAAAACCCCTCAGAAGACCCTTCTTTCATAGTCTGAAACCCCGTTGCATTAATTCACTCAGAACTGCAGTTGGTAGTGCCCAGTTTCCAAGCTGACAAGCACCACGTGGGGACAAAGTTATCAAAAGTGCACACTTGTTGTATACACCTACTACGTACCAACAAAAATTTCAAAAGATAAATTTAGTAAAAGTACACACTTGTGAATCAGGAAAATTGAGAGTGGACTTTTCTACAGAACACATTTCAGGGGAATTGACATCTTTTTTAAAATGAGAAGTAATAATTTATAAGGTTTCTGGATTACCTGAAACATTCTTCTTCTATCAGTAAATAAGCAAAAAAACAATCTCCTTATGCAGATTATAAGGGTCTTTATTATATTTCAGTGCTAACTTTAAGATTCAGTGGAAATTCTTGGCCAGTTTCTTTCAGAAAAGAGCTAAATATAAATGACACCCAAACTGAAATCTTTATTTTGGCATTATTTATCATCCAGATGGATGACAGTCAGCAACTCTATTCAACAGGTTAACTAATTTATTTGTCTAGGGGTACATTTTGCAGATTATTTATCCTGGCAAACCCACTGGGAAGCAGTCTGCTCAAGATTTTGTTTTCCACAGGAGTCCTAATAAAGTCCTCTAATGCTACAAGCAGATGACTGATAGCTTGACCCCAGACTCTTCTAGGAAATGACACCTTTTCTTTTCCTTCCTTCCTCCAGAAGTGTGGCTCAGAGTTTAAGCACTGAGGAAGGCCAACCTTATTCCTGCCTGTGTGCCATGTTGTAACTCCCTTGGTTCAAAATTTAAGTGGCTTTGGAATTATTAACAAAAATAATGAACAAAACAATTTGTATTGCCTTTTTAACTTCACTGAGACTTGGTTTTGTAATCTGAAAAAAGGAAACGCGTTTAACCTTATAGAGCGCTTGTGGAATTAAATGATAATACGAACTTGACTTGTGCTGCACATGTCTGGCACATAGGAAGCACTTCATTAATTTTATAACCTTTTCTTTGACTTCATGTGCAAAGTTAGGTGTTTGTTGGATAAGAGGAGCTACAGAGCCCATCACGTTTTCTTTTGCACCTTGTCAGAAGGCACAGTTTGTGTGCGACGGCGCTCACATTTTATGGATCACTATTAATGTTATAATCATCTACCCTATCATATTTCATAATTTAGCCTTTATTCTCCATATTTAATTACTTTTCTCTTTCTGCCTCTTATTGGAAATACTGAAACGTTTTGAGTAGAGAGAGTAAATAAAAATAACTTCTTTGGGACTCAATTTTCATCGATATTTGTAATGAATGCTATCTCAGATACCTTTCGGACCTAAAAATCCATGGTTTAGTTTAAAACATGATAACTTATTGTGAGTGTGATTATAATATTATTGCAAGCACTATACTCTCCGATGATGGTTGAAAAATCAAGTTGAGTGAATGATTCCCTAGGATTCCAAAATCATTTAATGCTTTGTCACTGCAAGGAGTTTGCCATATGGCTATGAGAGAAGCCATGTACTAATAAGCAGCTATGGGCAATGCATGCATTAGACAGTAATACAATGAATGCACATCATTATGTATTCAATGAGTGCCACAGGCAGACATTGCAAGGTGTTTCGAGTGAGAACATGTCATCTGATAAAGTATCATGATAAGGTAAGCTTCCAGTTAATTCATGAAGGATATATTGTATTTGAATTAAGAAGAGAAAAAGTAAGGACATTTTCGGTATGGAAACAATAGGGACAAAGATATAGAAATGATTATACCTCGACAATACTGAGGGAAGAATAAATTCATCAGTCTGGAGCACAGTATTTTTGCAGAATATGATTTCCCAGACTGTGTTACATAAAGAACTATATTCACATAAGGTGCTCTGTGAACAAACAAGGAAACATTTCTGTGACTGCATAAGGAATGTTTAGTAAAAGTAAACACATTTCTTTACTGCAGGACTTTTCAGAGCATTTAACCTACAAGGAATTTTTTTTCATGCTTATGTAATCCTGAAGACTTTCTTTGAGGAGCACTTACTAACATCTCTTGAGACTACCATGTGAATTGCTGATAAAAAGAATAATGGAAGATGAGATTAGAGAGGTAATTTAGAGATGGCCAGTGGAGGGCCTTGCACCCTAGATCAAGGAGACTGAGCATAAACCTGGGAGGGGTGAACTGCATAGGACTCGAAAATATGGGCTCTGAAGTCAGCCAGTTGGACTCCACCAAGCTGCACCACCTCCTGGCTGGCTGATATCAAGAGAGCTCCTTTGCCAGTTCCTGTTGTAGAATCCAATTGGATATTTGTTTACTAGCAGTTCCATTGCAAAACCATGGCGAATAAGAAGAGTTAGCAGGTGAAAATTGCTGACGTCAGAGCCTAGCACAGAGCAAGCAACCTAAAAGCATTAGATAACATTATTAATGGAATGTGGTTAAACTATTTCAAGCAAAGAAATGGCATTATAAAAAGAGTGTTTAAAAAAGGGGAGGGTGTTTTAGCAAAGTGAACCTCTTACCAAAGAAGAAATCTTCAGTTAGAACTTTGGATACAGTTGTAGGAAGCAGTAAAAGAATGGAAATTCATCTTGTGCCTCATTATAACTGGAACAGTTCCTTATATGCCTAGAAGTCAGATCTCTATTGAAAATGTTGGTGTGTAATTGTTTTAAAATGAGGAAATTTTCTTTGATTAAAAGGTACTTTGTAAATTTCTCCCCAAAATATTTCGTGTGTATTATGTGAAAGTGCAATATGTGTGTTTACGGGTGGATGTGTGTATTCCGTATAATTTTTAAGGGCACAGGATTTTTCACAGCTATTTATTAACTCTGCTGCTTCACTTTGAGGCATTTATTTTGGTTCTTCACCCTGTCATTTTTATGGCATTTGTAATACCTTTAGATTTAACTGGATATTAGAACTGACTTTTTAATGAAAAAAGTTTTCCAATAAGAGGATATTTTGAAGAAGTTAATTTTTCTAATCCTTGGCATGTGACTGCTATTTTTTCCTCCAGTGTGTGGCATTCCTTGGAATATATTAAAACAGACTGAAGCTTATCAAATATAATAAGATTTTAGTTTAAGAGAATATAACCATTAACAACAGTTTCAAAAATTAATCATTTTTATTCTATTAGAGGAAAAATTTGTAGTGTTCAACACATTTATTTTCAGGCATATTTTAAAAGACAAATGTGAACCAAAGCTGTATTTCTAGAACATAGACTCAAAGATGTTAAAATAGGAAGTAATATCTAAACAGTATTATCAGGTCATAGAAAGTAAGTTATAAACTATACAGTTAAAGTTAGCTTGTATCAAAGATGTTTTACTCCATTTAAAGATCTACATCTTTTGATAAGGTTGAAATATATCTTAGTTGAATCAGAACTTTAAGTCTTCTGGACTAAATGCTTATAAATTTCTATTTCAGAAAAACAATTATATGAAATTGATATTAGAATAGTAAATAGTAATGCTTAGATTCATGTCATTATGTATATTAATAGTGTTATTTAAAATAGAGACGTATGAATATTATTGGAATTTTTCAAATTACAGAACACCAAAACAAGTGTTGCTGTTGTAAGTGCATTATAAATGTGCTTTTAATTGTTTATTTCAAGCACATATTTTAATGTTAATATTTTAGGTGATATTTAAAGGTCATTTTCCCATAATATGCTGTTTCTGGAGTTAACCAGTATGAATCAGTTCTTAAATATACTCAAGTTTTAGCTACAATAGAACTAATTCACTGCATTTAAAACTCCCAAGATGAAGTGCCCTCTTTGATCAAATGATTAGCATCACTTTAGTTGGTGTGAAATAGAATAAAGTGAAACAAACTCTATTCATTCTTATTCAACAACAGATACTTTCATTAAACCATAGTACTTTAAGTATAGGGAGGCAGAAGAAAAAGAAAAGAAAATGACTTTAGTGAACATATACTATTATAGCCTAAGAGGTAGTTAGTCATCTGCATTTAGCAGTTACTTACAGCAAAAAAGTGTAAATTATCAGTTTTTATAAGTAATTCTATCAAAAGGAATGAGAAAAGTCACTTTTAATTTCTTCTATTTGACCTTTGTAAAATACAAATGGCTTTATATCTATATCTTCATAATACATCTCTATGACAGAAATTTATCTTTATGAATTATTTCTTGGTGGATCTCAGATGACACCATTATTTGATATATTTTGTTCTTTGTGACCTGTAACACCAGTAACCTGGAATGATACTTCTGCTTTTTAATCACAAAACATACAAATTGACCAAGCAAATCTAGATTCAGCAAATTACTTGTTTGACACCAAATGTTCCTTTGTGCGTGGCCTATTTGGATACCCTTCACCTGATATCCACAATTTCAGCACTTGGGGGAATGATTAAGTAGTTAATTGCAAGGGAACTATTTTCCCATTCTGATTTCAGCTGGAAAAGATGGGGGAGGAGAGAAGAAAATGTTAGCATACAGTCCAGAAGTTTGGGATATTTTTGCTTCCCCCAAAGATACTCTGTAGACAAAGCCTCTTAATGTTAAGCCACTTTAACTATTCTCCTTTGGAGATACGTTTGAGGGCAATTGACCTAACTCTCTAATGTTCTCTAACGTGTCTACAATCAGAAACATGTCTTAGATATGATCCTGCCTGTGGCTCTTTTGTTTTCTCTAAACATCAGGTTGTGTCACTTAGTATCTCCCTATGTTACTAAAGAAGAGTGTTCTGGACAAGCACCTTAGCATATTTGAATTGATAAATTTTCTGCTAGGATAGTGACCTCAAGATTAGCATTCATGCAGACAAAGCATATTTGTTTTACGTGAATTCTTCTGCCTTTGTGCTTATAAAAATTACCTCATTAACACTTCATAGGAGCACTAAAACAGGTATAAACTAGGAAACAAATGCAAAATCTTTCAAATATTTGGAATATATTTATAACGTTTTCATTCCCTAGTATACTTTTCACCTCAAATAATTGCCCAACACAATGCACATGTATTTTTTTTTCAAGCAACAATATAAAACAAAACATCATATTGCATTTTTTGTGCGGACTGCTTTGAGAATCAGGCTCTCTTTGGTGAGTTTTAGCCCAACTGATTACTAATTTTCATCCTATGGGTCCATTACAGTTGAACTTTTTAAAATGAAATCATACCTTTCATCGAACATTTTAATATATTAAATGCCATATGCTAATAATAAATACCTAACAGGGGACTCTGCCTTTTAAGACACTAGGCCCATGTCTTAACCTGTTCCTGCTGCTATAACAGAATGCCTTAGGCTGGATAATTTACAAATAACAGATTTTTTTTTCTCACAATTATATTAATAGAAGCTGTAAGGTCCAAGATCGATGCATTGGTATTGGTGAGGGCCTCCATGCAGCTGCCTCACACAGCAGAGGTGAAAGGGCAAAAGGAGCAAATTCCGTCCATCAAACCCTCTCAAAAAGGCACTAATCCTACAGGGAGGAGCCCCATGACCTAATCACCTCTTAAAAGCACCCCATTCCACCCTCATTAATACTAGCACGTCCTCAACACCTGAATTTTAGTGAGGCCACATTCAAACCATGGAAGGCCTGGTCTCTCTTCCAGAACTCAGAGAAAATTTCTCCAATTTCATTCAGCTGAATGGTCCAGAGAGCTCTTTCCAGCTGTCAGCCTGACCGGCTCTCTTTATGAGGAAATCAGTCATCTTTGGCATCCCCAGGCTCGCCCTGTGTGCTTTATAAACATGTGAAGCATGCGTGAGTGAGGAAGGAAGGATTTTAAACATTTTTTTTTTTGATACAGGGTCTCATTCTGTCGCCTAGGCTGGAGTGCAATGGCAGGATCTCAGCTCACTGCAACCTCCGCCTCTCATGTTCAAGCAATACTCCTGCCTCAGCCTCCGGAGTAGCTGGGACTACAGGTGCATGCCACCATGCCCAGCTAATTTTTGAATTTTTAATATTTTAATTTTTGTATAATTTTTGTGTAATTTTGTATAATTTTAGTATATTAATTTTTGTATTTTATTCCGCCATGTTGGTCAGGCTGGTCTCGAACTCCTGACCTCGTGATCCGCCCGCTTTGACCTCCCAAAGTGCTGGCATTGCAGGCATGAGCCAAGGCGCCCGGCCGGATTTTAAATTTCTTATGAGGTCCTTTATCGTTTTTTGATCTCGCTTTGAATCGGTTCACATCAGTGGCAATCAACTGGTCCTTTTAGGGAGGCCTCGGATACTCCATCAAAGAAGGGCAACCTTGCAGAGCTGCCCCTGGGGCGGGACCAGGTGCCGCCCTTACTCCCTGTGCTCAGGCCTTCAGGCCATGGTGTGGCATTTCTGTTCTTGTCAGTTGTTGTATAGCAAGGCGTTCGAGGGTGCTGCTTTAGAGCAAGGCTTTCTGGATCCAAATGCTTTTACCCTTCTCTGATTGAACTTTGCAAGTCACTCAGCTTCTCTGTGTTTCCGTTTTATCATCTATAAGATAGTTGTTGTGGGAACTTAAGTGGGTCACTACAAATACAGTATTTAAAACCATTCTTTTCAAACAGTAAGCCCGCAATTAATGTTAAATCATTGTTATTACTATGGTAATTCACCGGGTCATGTCTTGACACGTAGCATTAGGACAGTGCCTCTTCTGTCCCTGGAAATACCTTCCGCTATACAGATGTTCTCTTTAGGTAAATTACGATGGCCAGATAGCCACAGACACAGGGCCAGGATCGTTGAGGCCTCTGAAAAGACCCCGTAAGTTGCAACTATCTTCCCCATACAAGCTTCCCAACAATTGAGAAATAAAACCAAATATGGCACATTGTGGCCAAAACGTATTTTTTTATTAATTAGTCAAGAGGAACCTACACCAGTGGAATACTAAATTCTTTCTCCCCGTAGAGGATGGCTCATGAGAAGGATAAATACGGCGCTCAGTGCAGCACAGTTTATTTTTCCCAAGTCCACTGGTCTAACCATTCAACTACCTCCTCTGTGGCGGGGGAACGGGGCAGGGCACAGTCGGGATTGTTCTGTTTATCCATATGCCTGCACCTGGAAGGAATTCCTTCAGGGGTAGGAAGACGTTCTCCACTTTGACCACGATGTGTACGATGTGAGACAGCTCCCTAATCTTCTGCCATAAAATATTTAGCCCAGCTACAATATTCCTGGAGAGGAGATCTATCTTCATTTTAGTGGATACTGACAAAGGCATTATTCACCTTTTACCTATATTGAACATAAAGTATTAAGTACAGCAAAGCGCTAGGTGCCACACAAATCTGCATAGAAATAGGTGCCTCTTTCGACTACTATTCAAGAGGAGTCATTTTAGGGCATTTTGCAAATATGTGTGTGTCCTCTGTTCATTTGAAATGCTCTTTTTGGTTTGAATTCATGTTAATTCATGGTGAGAAAATAATTGACTGTATAATAAGTCTTATTATTCTGCTCTTCCTCTGTCTTCAGGATTTTCAAGTTCTGTCTCTTCACCTTGAGCGTTCTGCAGAATTCCTATGTCTTTTCTCTCTGTGAAGGCGAAATATTGTCTTACCTTCAATATGAAGAAAGTACATATTGGTAGTGAGCTGCAGTTTGAGGCGCTATGTTTCAAGTAAAGAAGAAATTATTTGACTTTCTTTCAGTAATAATCAGTCCCTCCCAAGTCAATAGTAGATTAGTATCCTTGAAAGGTGGGATAGTATTTGTACTATAAATTTGAATACTTTGTTTTTCTTCAAAAATGGAGCAATGTCTGCAAAGACTGTGGATCTATATCTGACCACCAAGCTCCAATTGATAATACGGATATTGATTTTGTGAGGCTTTCCTATTAGTCTAGAAATGAGGAATTGATGCCTTCAGTCATAGTATGATAAGAAAAACATAGGCAACAAGAAATTTCTGTGAACAAAGGAGAAATTCTCTTGGCAACACTTCTGAGTTTTAGTATACTACACATAATCTATAGATGTACTACTACATGAAGGTCCGGTAAAGAAATGTGGGTGAATTTTGTCATCAGTTTCAAACTTCACTGCACCATATAAGACAGTATTTAAAAATTGCAGTTGTTTCAAGCATGGTTAGAAGACTAACTGCAAATATTCATAGTATTATTTCAACCAATTTCTTTTTTTTCTTTCTTTCTTTTTTTTTTTCGAGACGGAATCTTGCTGTGTCGGCCAGGCGGGAGTGCGGTGGCGCAGTTTCCGCAAACCGCAACCTCCGCCCCCGAGTTCAAGCAATTCTCCTGCCTCGGCCTCCCTAGTAGCTGGGATTACAGGCCTACACTACCACGCCTGGCTAATTTTTGTATTTTTAGTAGAGTCGGGGTTTCACCATGTTGGCCAGGCTGATGTTGAAGTCCTGACCTCAGGGGATCCGCCTGCCTCAGCCTCCGAAAGTGCTGGGATTACAGGCGTGAGCCACTGCACCCAGCCCCAATTTCTTTCTTTCTTTCTTTCTTTCTTTTTTTTTTTTTTTTTAAGACAGAGTCTTGCTCTGTCGCCCAGGCTGGTGTGCAGTGGCGTGATCTCGGCTCATTGCAAGCTCCGCCTCCCGGGTTCACGCGATTCTCCTGCCTCAGCCTGGGACTACAGGCGCCCGCCACCACGCCCAGCTAATTTTCTTGTATTTTTAGTAGAGACAGGGTTTCATCACGTTAGCCAGGATGGTCTCGATTTCCTGACCTCGTGATCTGCCTGCCTCGGCCTCCCAAACTGCTGGGATTACAGGTGTGAGCCACCGTACCAGGCCCCCACTTTCTTAATATTCTAACTTTGCCTTTCTGTTATATGTGCATTGGTCATGCATGCATTTGTTGTCGTATTCATCGAGCAGAAATCCTAGAATTCAGGACACATTTGTCATGCTTTGGTTTCCCTAGCACATGTCTCAGTTGCTTGATAAGTGGCTGTGGACATTGATAATGTCTCTGGGGAAGATTGGAAGAATAAGTAATTTTAACGTATCATCAGTTTATGACAATTTCTAAAATGTAATCAGTTACTTTCCAGGTTCTGGGCAAAGTTCTTTACAGGTATTCTTCCTTTAACCACCACAATTACCTCATGCTATACTAGTCCTAAGAACTCTAATGTTCAGTGGATAAATAAGCTATATAGAAAGTAAGTGGGGTGCTATTGTTCGATCTCAAGAATTTCACCCAGTCTCTTCCCTCTTCCTGGAATATTCTTCCCCAGATATCCCTTTGGCTTATTTCTCAGTAAGATCTGTTCTCAAATTCCACCATCTCAGTGAGGCCTGCCCGTTGAAAACACTATTTCAACGCTATTTCACACTATTCAACACGATTTCTCCCACTCTACTTCTCTTTTAAGTTTTACTTATCACCAATTCTATAGGTTTTACTTATTTTATTTTACTACTTCTTTCTGCAAACTAGAATATAAGAGAGTTTTTATTTTTCTGCTCATGAAAACTCATGTTGTTTGAACTTGAGTTATCCAGAAAATAATAGGCACTTAACAAATAATAGTTACCTGAATGAATTAACCTGAGTGGGCTGAGTCACTTCAATGGTGGTGAGGCATTAGAAATGTTTACCACATTATCTGAGTAATGAGTTGAACAATGACATCTTTTATTAGGTTCTGTCCAATAAGATTTTGTGTTCCTTGTTTTATAATATTGAATTGTTACATTTTTTTCTCACTATGAATGTGTCTATCAAATTGTTGAATTGTACAAATATCTGGAGAATGTATTCAGACATAGTAGTGTATTCTTCAGAGAATAAAGCAATCCTCCAAGGCATAGGAAGTTTGTGGATTTTGTACTGACTTCTCAGTAGTTCAAATGAATGGGAACAAGCTTGACTGCATCTAAGTTAACATATTTAAGCTGTTTTGTATTCTGACTTCCCATGTAGACTGGTAACAAGTTAATGATTTGTGTTTCAAACACTGTAGGAAGTTGGTTTCCTCAACATCTGCACAGAGTTATTGCCTTGGGGAAGACATAAACTGAAACCATGTTGGTAAATCTACACTGCGAATGATTTCTGAGGCTCCCCACCCCTTTTTGACAGCGTCTTTCTTGCAGAGGACGAGCTATATATATTATATAAACACACATACACATAGAAAGACAAAGAGTAGTTGATTGTGTCAGGGGAAAGCAAGCTTGCAGTTAGCCCCTGAGCATGCCTTTAAATAGCATTTTTCATGCTTTTCACCTAATGTGTGTTTGACAATACAGAGTCTGAAAGGGTTTTTTTTAACCAGTTAAAATATATTTCCTATACAGTTGTCCATAGCTAGAATAAAAGCTGTATGCTATTAGGAAGTATTTTCAAACATTTATTATGCCAAAATAAAGCTTCCCTGAAGGCAAGAATGCAGAGGAAATGTATACACATTTACATCTGAATGAAACAATGGGATAGATATTGCTATCCTATATCGAGGATAATTCTCCAGTGGATTTTCAGCACAAGAGTGTCTCATTCTGGTAGACATTCAGAAATTTGAAAGTGAGTCAGTACCATAGGGACTTAACAAGTGTTTTCAGAAAATAATGAAAATACTACATATTTTCAATTCTATCGGCTATGACTTTCAAATTGAGAAGTCCATTTTCAGTTGCTTTTAATGATTTACCTTCTTGTAAAAAATAAGCACTTAAAGAAATATTTTTTTTACTAAAGTAGTATTTAATTTGCCTTGCCTTGTGGTTTATAAGGCTACTGGTTAATTAAAAATTCTTTGGAAATAATTATTGGTTACTAACATCAAACATTTATTATAGTAATATATTACTTCTTATTTTAACAGCCCATAATCAGAAACTAATAGGATTAGTGAATAAACTTCACAAATGCAGAGATTTGGGCAATATAGATAATGCTTTCAGAGTATCTCTTAATGCTTGGTCAGTTTTTATACTTGGTTTTCTGTTATAATTTGATGAATTCACTTAGTAGTCTAGGATTAATGATTTCTTTTAATTAGCAAGATAAAGTCTGTGAATTTATAATAGATTCATTAACTTGTGATTTACAATAAAGGGATTGAAGTGGGGTTTTTTTTCCCCTGGTTAGTTGCCTTTTGTTTTTGTGTTAAACTCTCATGATTAAACTCATGATATCCAAGCTAAATATTCAATTTTCAACTTCTTCTTTAACATATACATGCAGGAAGAGTGACAGCTAGCTACATATGGTATAATATTTCTACATAATTAAAAATATATTTATAGATTTTTTAAAAACCTGTGACAATAAACAATATTATTAGAACAACCAAATGCTGGCAGAAAGCATTTACAATGCTGCATGGATTAACACTTTCAGAAACAACCTCTCTATGTGGTCTTTTGTGAAAATCATTTTCAAATTTGATCTGTATTGTGATCCACTAATTCTTGTAAAATCACATTTTAAAAAGTACTCAAATATTCCCTGGAATCCACATGTAGATTTAAGAATATCCTTAGTTGGAAGGAGACTATAGCAATATGAAGGTTGTTGCTGAGTAACACTTGGAATTTATCCTATAAAATAAACAAATCCTGAACAATGTATTCAGTCTGAAGATGAGACAACAATATCCTAATCACAGGAGTGTGTGTAAGGAGAGGAGTCCCTATGGGGAGTTGGATGGTCTTGAGTAAGAAAGCGGCCTTTCAAAGCAAAATACAAATTTCTATAAGAGAAAGAAGAGAACAAACAATTGAGTCAGAATGGCCTCATTGAGATTGGAGGGGCTGCTGAACTAAGCAATGTGCTAGAAAAT